>NC_000006.12:164919274-165070790 GCF_000001405.40 Homo sapiens | reverse complement strand
TAGTTGCTTCCGAGTTTTGACAATTGTGAATAAAGCTGCTTTAAACATTTGTGTGCAGGTTTTTGGGTGGACATATGCTTTCAATTCATTTAGGTAAATACTAAGGAGCATGATTGTTGGATCATATACAAGAGTATGGTTAGTTTTGTGAGAAACTGACCGACTGTCTTCCGAAGTGGCTGCACCATTTTGAATTCCCATCAGCAATGGATGAGAGTTCCTGTTGCTCCACTTTCTCTCCAGTATTTGGTATTGTCAGCGTTTTGGATTTGGACCATTCTAATATGTGGGTAATGTTTTAATTTACAATTTCCTAATGACATATATTAAGCATTTTTTCATATGCTTATTTGACACATATATCTTCTTTGTTTGAGGTGTCTGTTCAGGTCTTTTCCTTATTAGAAAATTAGGATGTTTTCATTGTTGAATTTTAAAAAGTTCTTTGTATATTTTGGATAACCACTTTATCAGATAGACATTTTGCAAATATTTTCTTTTTGTTTGTGACTTATCTTCCTTATCTTTTAGTGTTCTTGACAATGTCTTTTGCAGACTTTTAAATTTTAATTAAGTCCAGCCTATAAAATATTTATTTTGTGATTCATGCCTTTGGTATTATGTCTAAAAGTAATCACCATACCCAAGGTCATCTAGATATTTTCCTATTATTATCTATAAATTTAAAAGTTTTGTGGGAAGAGTAAAAGGTCTGTTTCCAGTTTTTTTTTTTCTCTGCATGTGGATTTCCAGTTGTTCCAGCTCTTTTTCTTGAAAAGACTACCTTCTTTTCTCCACTGCATTATCTTTGCCCTTTGGTCAAATATTATTTGACCGTATTTATGTGAGTTTGTTTCAGGGCTCTCAATTCTGTCCTATTGAACTATTTATCTATTGTTTCACCATAACCACACTGTCTTGATTAGTGCAGCTTTATAGTAAGTCTTGAAGTCAGGTAGTACCGATCTTCTGACTTTGTTCTTCCTCCATATTGTGTTGGTCATTTGGGGTCTATTTTCTCTCGAAATAAAACTCATAATCAGTTTCTTAATATCTACAAAGTAATTTGCTGGCATTTTTATTGAGGTTGCATTGAATCTATAGATCAAACTGTGAAGAATTGACATATTAAAAATATTGACTCTTCCTATTTCTTTATAAATAAATAGCTCTCCATTTATTTATTTTTTCTTTGATTTCTGTCATCAGAATTTTGTAGTTTTGCTCATATATGTCTTGCACATATTTGGTTCAATTTATACCTAATTATTTCATGCCTTTTTGGTGCTAATGTAAGTGGTATCATATTTTAAATTTCAAATTTCAATTGTTCATTGCTGGTATATAGGGCAAGGAATGTTTTTGTATATTAACCTTGTATCCTGCAACTTTGCTATAATCACTTACTAGTTCCAGAAGCTTTTTGTTGTTGTTGTTGATTCTTTTGGATTTTCTATATCAACAATCATGTCATTTAAGACTAAAGTTAGTTTTATCTCTTCCTTTCTAAGTGCATATACTTTCTTTTCTCTTCTTGTCTTGTCTTTTTGCATTAGCCAAGACTTCCAGTGGTAATGAAAAGGAGTAGTGAGAGGGGACATCCTTAACATCATTCCTTATCTTAGAGAGAAACTTCTAATTTCTCACCATTAAGTATGACGTTAGCTATAAGATTTTTTGTAGCTATTCTTTATCAATTTGAAGTTTTCTTCTATTCTTAATTTGCTGAGAGTTTTTATCATAAATGGGTGTTGAATTTTGTCAAGTACTTTTTCTGCATCCATTGATAAGTTAATATAATTTTTCTTCTTTAGTCTGTGGATGTAATGAATTGCATTAGTTTATTTTCTAACGTTGACCTAGCCCTGCACACTTGAGATAAATCCCACTTGGTTGTATTATATAATTCTTTATGAATATTGTTGGATTTGATTTGCTAATATTTTGTTAAAGATTTTTGCCTCTATATTCATGAGAGATGTCAGTTCCAGTAATGTCTTTATCTGGTTTTGGTATTAGGGTAATACTAGCCTCATAGAATGACCTAGGAAGTATTCCCTCTACCTCTATCTTCTGGAAGAGATTGTAGAGAATTGATATAATTTCTTCTTTAGATGTTTGGTAGAATTCACAAGTGAACCATTTGGGTCTGATACTTTCTATATTTAAGGGTAAATAATTATTATTAATTTAATTACAAAATAAATATGGCATATTCACATTATCTACTTGTTCTTGTGGGAGTTTTCACAAATTATATATATATATATTTTTAGAGTCTTGCTCTGTCACCCAGGCTGGAGTGCGGTGGTTTGATCTCTGCTCACCGCAAGCTCTGCTTCCTGGGTTCACCCCATTCTCCTGCCTCAGCCTCCCGAGTAACTGGAACTACAGGCACCCGCCACCAGGCCCAGCTATTTTTTTTGTATTTTTTTGGTAGAGACAAGGTTTCACCATGTTAGCTGGGATGGTCTCGATCTCCTGACCTTGTGATCTGCCTGCCTCGGCCTCTCAAACTTCTGGGATTACAGATGTGAGCCACCACGCCTGGCCATTATATTTTTTAAGGATTGGTTCATTTCTTCTGTGTTACCAAATTTGTAGACACACAAAGTTGTTAAGACATTTTTTATTATCCTTTTAATGTCATTGGATCTGTAGTGATAGTTTTTATTTTTGATATTATAAATTTGTGTCTTTGCCACTTTTTTCTTCATAGCCCCACTAGTGGTTTATTGATTTTATTAATATTTTCATAGAACCAGGCTTTGATTTTGTTGATTTTCTCTAGTAATTTCAATATTCCAATATCATTTATTTCTACTCTAATTTTTATTATTCCTTTTCTTCTGCTTACTTTGGATTTAATTTGCCCTTCTTTTCCTGGTTTCCTAAAGTGGAAGCATAGCTCATTAATTTTATATCTTACTTCGTTTCCAATATATACATTAAATCACTTAAATTTCCCTCTAAGCACTACTTGAGCTATATATCATAAATTTTGCTAAGTTGTATCTCATTTTGATTTAACTAAAAAAATTAACTTGAGACTTCTCCTTTGACCTATGTGTCATTTAGAAATGTGTTATTTAATCTCCATCTATTTTGGGATTTTCCAACTATCTTTTTGTCATGGATTTATAGTATGATTTCACTGAGTTCTGAAAGCAGACATTATATGATTTCTATTTTAAATGTGTTAAGATGCATTTCATGATCCTAAATTTGATCCATCTCAATGAGTATTCCATGTGAGTTTAAGAAGAATGTGTAATCTGCTGTTGTTAGATGAAGTAGTCTATAGATGTCAATTACATCCAGTTGATTGATGGTGTTGTTCAATTCAATGATGTCCTTACTGATTTTATGCTGACTGGATCTGTCTATTTCTGATGGAGCAGATGTTGAAATCTACTATTATTGTGGGTTAATCTATTTCTCTTTCCAGTTCTATCAGGTTTACCTCACATATTTGGATGCTGTGTAGTTAGGTGCATACACATTAAGAACTGGAATTTCTTCTTCTAGAATTGACCACTTTATCATGAGGTAATTCCTCTCTTTGTTCCCCATAATTTTCTTTGCTCTGAAGTATGCTTTTTCTAAAATTAACACAGCTAATTCTGCTTGCTTTTGATTGGTGCTAGCATGGTCTATGTTTCACCATCCATTTACTTTTAATCTACATGTGTCTTTATATTTAAAGTGGGTTTATTAAAGACAAAAGATCCGTGGGTCTTATCTTTTAATCTATTCTAAAAATTGTTACACTTTAATCTGTATATTTGGAGCATTGACTCTCAAAGTGATTGTTTAGCTATTTGTATTAATATGTACTATATTTGTTATTCTTTTCTATTTGTTGGCCTTGTTTTTTGTTCTTATTTTGTCTTTCACTCTTTTGTTTTTTATAATTTTAATTGAGAATTTATATTATTATTTGTGATCAATATTTTCTTTCTTAGTAAATTAATTTTAATTTTGTAGTGGTTGCTCTAGAGTTCGCAATATACATTTATGACTAATCCAAGTCCACTTTCAATTAATATTACACCACTTAATGGGTAGTGCATGATCTTTTAGTAGCAAAATGATATTAATGTCTTCCTCTTGCCTTTTGTATTATTGCTGCCCATTCAGTTATATGTAAGCAAACACACACACACAGACAAGCATACATAATTGAATACTTCCTTGCTTTTTTTTTTTTTTTACAATCTGTTATCTGTTAAAGAATAGCAAACGTTTTTATTTAACTTCACTTATATCTTCTTCAATGCTTCTTTTTCTTTAAACCTGAGTTTATGACTATAGAGAATAACCTACATGTGGTGGTCCATTTTCAATTCTAAGTGCTTTAGTATAAGTTTAAGCAGGCTTCATGGAAATAAAGGAATAAAGAAGCAGAATGTACTGAGCTATGAGCCACCACCTTGCCTTTCTGCTTTCCCTGTCACTCAGTGGCCAGGCCCCTATTAGTCAGGCTATCCCGCTTAAGTCCCCCCTTCCCACCCCATGAAAGAATTTAGTTTAGGCTAGCCTGCAACATAGATAATTGTACCCTTTCTTATCCGTGTAGCCACTGGGGCCATAAATCAAATGTTTAAAGAGTCCTGAGCCAGCTGCAATGCATTATGGGCTGCAATAAAATGCAGCAAAAAGACCCTAAAGAACAGACTTGAAGCCTTCACCCCGCTACCAATAGGCGATGTTTGGAAAGATTGTAACCCCATAGCACTCAGTCGATGAGGAACTGGGAGAGGGACCTGTGCACTAGGAAATAAATTGCTTGTTGAAACTGTTCCGGGTATGCCTGCATGCCAGATACCCAATCTTGCAAGACCGCCATTAAAGTTTTGCTTCTGCTCTTCTCCGTGCCCCTGAGTCCATTCTTTGGGTTTGGACGGGTGAGTTTGTTTCTCACAATCTGGGGGCTCATTTGGGATCTCTGTGCCTGCGTGGAGTGGGTCCCCGGCTGAGAGGGGAGATACGTCCCACCCTACTTAGGTGGCCTGCTCTGTCCAGGAGTCCCAGCTCCCTGCTGAGGCCATAGATAAACCCGAGATTGTTATTCAGGAAGCAGCGGAGGTGGCAGAGAGAGAAAAGCAGGCACTGCAGCAAGCAGGCAACCTCGTGCATAAGCCACGGTAGGAAAATTAAACTGCAAGTACTGCCTTGGTAGTTGGGCATTTTCAGAGGTCGAGTGAGATTGTGTGACTGAGATGTATTCTCGACACGAAGCGAGTGCAGAGTCCCAATGTGTGGTTCTGTTCTCTCGCGAGGGAAACAGCCGGAGATGGGTGAAGCGGTTGACTCTTGGGGTGAGCAAGAAACCTCCAGTAGGGGGTTGAGTACACAGGGAAACTCAAACAAAGGGACCAGCCGAAAATGGGAAGCAAAAATTCTAGGACTAGGGAACAAAAGAAGGAGGGAGCCAAGGAGACCCCCTCTGACATCCCCCCAGATAGTCCACTGGGAAGGTTGTTACAGGCTTGTGGGAATAACTCCCAAACCAGGGATAAGGAAAAACAAAAGATAATAAAGTATTGCTGTTTTATCTGGCATAAAGACCCCATTCATCAGCCCTCTGTCTTTTGGTCTAAGTTTGGCTCAGTTAAAAATTGGGTATGTCAAGCTTTAATTCTCTGTGTTAACGATAGAACCCCACCTTTACAAGAGGAGGTAAATTATGCTCTCTGTTGGATCAAGGAATTAACACCCATATTCCCCCTCAAAGAAAAAGAAAAAGAGCATAATGAAGAACCCTTATCCAGTGAGCAATCCTGGGGCCCCCTTTCTTTCCTGCCCCACCCCCTCCATATCTCAGACAAAATAGGGAGCAGGAAAATCAGGGAACAATAGAAGAATCAGAAAGGGAGAGATCTGGAGGCCATGAGGAAACTAGACCAACTGCTCCTTCAAACCCTTATTAGTGTTTAAGAAAAGAGTTAGAACAATGCAAGAAGGATATTAAAAGCTTCCCTCTCCCCTCTAAACAACAGATGTCTAATATGTTCACCCTCAGGGAAGTCCCTATGGGACAGGGAGAAATTGGATTTGTAAATGCACCTTTAACAAGTAATGAGGTCAGAAATTTGAAAAAGGAAATGAAGTCACTACTAAAAGGACCCCTTGGGTTAGCAGAACAGTTGGATCAATTTTTGGGACCCAGTTTTTACATGTGAGCTGAAATGATGTCTATAATGAATATCCTGTTTACCGGGGAAGAAAAGGGAATGATTAGGAGCACACCTATGACGACTTGGGAAAGGCAGCACCCTCCCAGCCAAGGTGTTCTGCCAGCTGAACAAAAATTTCCGCATGTTAATCCTGAATGGGATAATAACAATCCCAGAGATCGTGCCCAAATGCAGGACCTTACAGAGCTAATAATTAAAGGAATCAAAGAGTCCACTCCTAGGACACAGAATGTCTCAAAGGCATTTAAGATTCAACAGGAGGAGAAAACTCCTTCTGCATTTTTTTTTTTTTTGAGACAGAGTCTCGCTCTTTCGCCCAGGCCGGACTGCCAGTGGTGCTATCTCGGCTCACTGCAAGCTCCGCCTCCCGGGTTCACACCATTCTCCTTCATCAGCCTCCCAGGTAGCTGGGACTACAGGCACCCGCCACCACGCCCAGCTGATTTTTTTTTTTTTTTTTTGTATTTTTAGTAGAGACGGGGTTTCACTGTGTTAGTCAGGATGGTCTTGATCTCCTGACCTCGTGATCCGCCCACCTCGGCCTCCCAAAGTGCTGGGATTACAGGCGTGAGCCACCACGCCCGGCCTCCTTCTGCATTCTTGCAAAGACTTAGAGATCAGATGAGAAAATACTCCAGATTAGATCCAGAGGACCCAGTAGGACAGGGTCTTCTAAAGGTCAACTTTGTGACCAAAAGCCGCCCAGATATCACCAAACAGTTACAAAAGATTGAGGGCTGGAATGAAAAGTCGATTGAAGAGTTGCTGAGGGAAGCACAGAAACTCTTTGTAAGAAGGGAGGAAGAGAGACAGAAACAAAAGGCAAAGATTGTGGTCTCTATTGTAAGGAAGTAGTCAGAAAGAGACTGGGTTAAGACTCTTCTCGGGGAGATGAGAGAATACTAGGTTTCCGCAAAGAGGCTGGGGGGAAAGACAATGACAAGTTCCCAAGACTCTTAAGTCTATGTTACAAATGTGGGAAGTCAGGACATTTTAAGAGGGAGTGCCCAGAATGGAAAAAGGAAGAGAAGGTGATCCCCTTATAACTTCTGATAAAGATTAGGAGAGTCAGGGGTTCCTTATGGGTAGGTCCCACCAGGAACCCTTGATAAATTGGAGGGTGGGACCTGAAGGGGAAGAAGTAACATTTTTGGTCAGTACTGGTTTAGTTTGCTCCTCCGTAATTCACCAACCAAAAGGTACAGAGGTCTTTAAGGAAAAACTAACAGTATCAGGGGTAAAATGGGAGGGATTTCAGGTTATTCAAGAAAATGGTAATTAGATTAGGATCAGAACAGATTAAAGAGTCATTCTTATATGTTCCTAAAGCAGTAACTAACCTCCTGGATCAAGACCTGACTGTAAGATTGGGCCTAGGATTAGGAGTAGAGGAGGGATGAATAAATGTGATCATGAGTCTCCTATCTGAAGAAGAAGAAAGTAACCTAAAATTGATCCCCTTGTATGGGTTAGGAAAGACAATAGTTTAGGGTTAAGAATCACACTCTTACAAATTGAATTCAAACAACCTGGGGAAATCGTCTATAGAAAACAATATCCTGTGCCCATTAAAGGAAGAAAAGGCCTCCAACCGGTAATAGAGTTAGTTAAAGATGGGTTATTGGAACCCTGTATGTCACCATACAGTACCCCAATTCTCCCAGTCAAGAAACTGCATGGGTCATACAGGTTAGTACAGGATCTAAGGGCTATAAATCAAATTGTTCAGGCCTGCCACCCTATAGTGGCTAATCCTTACAATCTCCTTGGTAAGATACCCTATGAACACAAGTGGTTCAGTGTGGTGGTCCTGAAAGATGCATTTTGGTCATGCTCCTTAGAATCTAAAAGTAGAGATCTCTTTGCCATCAAATAGGAAAATCCCACAACCGGGAGGAAACAGCAGCATCGCTGGACTGTGCTGCCACATCGTTTCACTGAAGCCCCAAACTTATTTGGTCAGGTCCTCTAAAGGGTATCGGAAGAATTCCAAACCCTTAGGGGAACTCAGTTGTTACAATACATTGATAACCTTTTAATCTCTGGGGAAAAAGGACAGAGGTTTCAGAAACCACCATAAGTTTACTAAATTTTCTAGGGGAAAAGAAATTATGAGTCTCTAAAAACAAACTACACTTTGTAGAAAAATAAATTAAATACTTGGGACACGTGATTAGTGAAGGGAAGCAGAGAATGAACCCAGAAAGGATATCTGGGGTAGTGGACTTACCTTTACCTACAACAAAGAGAGAGATCTGGAAATTCCTAGGCTTAACAGGCTATTGTAGATTATGGATTGACTCATATGCCTGAAAGATAAGAATTTTATATCTTAAACTACCAGAAAAGAAACCTAATCCCTTGGCTGTTCCCCAGAAGAAATTCAGGCATTAGAGGAACAAAAGCAAGCTCTTGTAACAGCTCCGGTCCTGGCCCTCCCACCTCTAGAGAAACCGTTCCATTTGTTGGTGACAGTGGATCAGGGTGTTGCCCTTGGGGTGCTTACTCAAATCTGGGGATCTTTGTTTCCAAACTTCTTGATCCTGTCTCTAGAAGGTGGCCTGAATGTGTACAAGTGATAGCAGCTACAGCTCTGCATGCAGAAGAGAGCCAAAAGCTAACTTTTGATGGGGCTCTAATAGTGAGTACCCTGCAACAGGTCAGGACCACATTAAACCAGAAGGCTGGAAGATGGTTAACAATTTCCCGAATTCCAAAATATGAAGCCATATTGTTAGAAAAAGATTTTAAAAATTTGGTTTTAACAACAGATACTTGCCTAAATACAGCCAATTTCCTATGGAAGGGAGAAGAAGATAAAGGAGCTCTTAACCATAACTGCTTGGATATCAGACTACCAAACTAAAATGAGACGGGACCTTAGGGAAGCCCTGCTACATGACAGAGTCAGGCTGTTTATAGATGGGTCGTCCTGAGTGATAGAAGACAAGAGACATAATGGCTATGCTATCATTCATGGAAACAAATAACTCTTATGTGAAAAGGACAGGCTGCCTAATAATTGGTCGGCCCAAACCTGTGAATTACATGCACATAATCAGGCTCTGAATCTCCTTAAAGGCCAAAAGGGCACTATATACACTAACTCCAAATATGCCTACGGGGTAGTAGGCACCTTTGGAAAATCTGGTCAGAACGGGGCCTACTAAATAACAGGGGAAAGGAATTGGTACATGGAGAACCGATTAAACAAATTTTAGAAAGCCCCTTGCTCTCGGCAGAAATAGCCATAGTTCATGTAAATGGCCATCAAAAAGGAAACACTGTAGAAGCTGCAAGGAACGGGCTTGAGGATGAAGTTGCTATGCAAGCCTCCGTGGAGAAAGAAGTTAGACCATTCAGCCTAATCTCAGATATCCCTAATGTGGTATGAAGACCCTGATTTTCCAAAGAGAAGGAGGAAACTCAAACTGAAGGGGAGGCAGATGCTTCGCGAGGGGAGGGAAATGATAAGTAAACCCATAATGAGAGAACTGAAGTCCATAATGCACATGGGAAGTCACTGGGGCCCTCAGGCTACGTGTAATGCAATACTAAAAACTTACAGTTGCACAGGAATCTATACCCTTCTAAGCAAGTATGCAGAGGCTGTGTAACTTGTCAGAAAATAAACCAAAGGTAACTAGGAAGCAGACTACAGGGGGAAGACCTCCCGGGCTGAGACCATTTCAAAGCATTCAAATAGATTTTACAGAAATGCCTAAAACAGGGAGACTAAAGTATTTACTGGTAATAGTGAATCACCTCTGTGGCTGGGTGGAGGCCTTTCCCCTCACGAATGCCACTGCTGGGAATGTGGTTAAAATAATCTTAGAGCAAATTATACCAAAATTTGGCCTGGTAGAGAACATTGATTCAGACAATGGGAGTCACTTTACTCCGGTGGTGTTGAGGGGAATCATGGAGGGCTTACAAATTAAATCAAATTATCATACCCCATGGGGTCCCCCTTCCTCTGGAAAACTAGAAAGAATGAATCAAACCCTCAAAAAACATATTGCCAAACTAATCCTATAAACCAAAATGCCCTGCACAAAGTGCCTCCCCATTACACTCCTTAGAATTAGGACAGCCCCTGGAAAAACTTGGGGACTGTCCCCCTATAAATTATTATATGGACTCCCATATGTGGGTAGGAGTACAGACCTTCCCATCACGAAAAGTAAGGATCAATTCTTTAAAAAATTATATACCGGCCATATCATCTACTCTGTCCTCCCTCAGGTTAAAAGTACTATTTCAAATTCTGCCTCTTGAATTCGTGGTTCATCACTTCCAAACTGGCGACTCAGTGTTAATTAAAAGTTGGAAAGAAGACAAGCTCTACCCAAGCTGGGAAGGTCCTTATCAAGTGCTTCTGACTACTAAGATGGCCATGCGAGCAGCTAAACGAGGCTGGACTCACTATACACAGGTCAAGGGACTGGTAAACAAGGTCCTAGAAGGGAAAGTCAGTGGGGGTATATGCGCCACCAAAGGAACCCCTAAAGCTAACTCTAAGGAAAGTCTGAAAAGGAAACATAAGCTGGCCCCATCTATGGAAATTAATGTGACTAGGATGGGCTACTATACCAAGGGCTAGGGGCTGGTACAGGGACTGGGCGAATTGGAAGGGATATCCTTATTGACAAATTACATTAGTAATTAAGATAACTAAAACCACACCATATGCATATGTGACTGAAGCTAAAACACTCATTACTATAAAATTGAATGCCTGTCAAGTCTTGCTTTGCGGAGGTCTGGAAAACCAGAGACAGCTCTCTTGAGCAAAAAAGTATCTCTGCCCGGAATCCTTCATGGGCCTTGATATACCCCCTTGTGATACCTGGGAAGATATATGGTGGACCACCAAGCCTCAGGGTTGGACATCAGATTTCATTTTGGGTGAGGTATACACAGGGGCTCCCCATCAACTAATTGTCAAAACCTAGAAGGTAATCCTATACTCCTAACTATTTGGAGTCATGCTCTTTTAGGATCATGGGACTTAGGAGAAGAACTAAGAACTGGTATGGTAGCCCCTTGAGTATATGGAATGGGAGCTGATGTTGAGGTGAAAGACCCCAGAGGGTGATTTATGTTTAAGATAGAAATTCAGTTCCCCATCTGCCTAACACCATTCCAACCCCATACCTTGCTTCAAATGATAACCCTAAGAGAGTGGAAATAGTCGAAGTACAAGATTTAAGACAAACATTAAAAATTAAAACAGGGGAGGGAGATCTAAATGCCTGGGTTAAATGGGATAAATTTTCAGTACAAGCCCACAGTAAGAGTAACTGTTATGTGTGAACTGCTGGTTGACCTCAGGCACAGGTGGTTCCATTTCCCCTTGGATGGGATACTAATTCCGAAGGAATGCATTGCATGTTGGCTCTATACCAAGACAAAGATACATGGGGAAATAAGACTTGTAAAAGTCTGTCATTGCTCTTTCCCACCTTGCAGAGAGCAGATCCCAGAGCAATCCCCTCGTGCTCTGTAGGGAATATACATCACTCCTCTTGTCTCTCTAAACAGGGGGCAGGGGAGGTTCAATAAACCCATGGGGGAGCTTTCAACCTGCACCCACATCCTAAATGTCACCGGTAAGCCAGACTGTGGCAACTACTCTGCTCTTCATATAACCCGAGGCAGAGGTCTGGGGGTATTGTGGGAAACAGAACCTCCATTAACTTGTTACCGTCCAGTTGAACCGGAACTTGTGCTTTAGTGCAACTGGCTATTCCCTTCACCCTGACATTCCATAGAATGCTTAAAAACACACATGGTCATTGAGACCAAAGAAATCTAACAAGTTCTTTTGACCCCAGTGTATATATTAGTTCCATAGGCATCCCTAGGGGAATGTCTAATACATTTAAGGCTCCAAACCAAATAGCTGCTGGATTTAAGTCAGCAACCTTCTGGTGGTCAACTATTAAGAAAAAGGTAAACTGGATCAATTACATCTATTATAATCAGAAAAGATTCATCAGTTACACTCAAGATGCCCTTAAGGGTGTAGCCAGCCAACTAAATGCCACTAGCCAAATGTCTTGGGAAAACAAAATTGCACTGAACATTATATTAGCAGTAAACGGTAGTGTATGTGCTATGTTGGGAGGAAAATGTTGTACATTCATTCCCAACAATACTGCCCCAGCTGAAACCATTACAAAGGCACTACACTACAAGAACTAACAACTCTGGCCGATAAGATGGCCAAATAATGCAGGAATAAATAACACTTTTACTGATTGGCTAAAAGGTTGGTTTAAAAAGTGGAAAGGAATGGCAGCTTCATTTCTTACATCTCTTGTAACTGTGGCAGGGGTCTTAACAGCCATAGGATATTGTATCATTCCTTGAGTGAGGGGATTAACACTAAAGTTAATTAAAACAGCTATCGGTAAACAAATTCCCCTAATGACCCAACAAAATAACCTACTATTATTAGAAACCAAATTAAGCTCCTCCTCCTATGAAAAAGAAAGTAAACTTCCAGAACAGTTTTAAAAAACAAAGTAATTTAAGTGAAAAAAAGACCAAGAAGGGTAAAAACAAAAGAGGAGGGAATTGTGGAGAATAATCTATATGTGGTTGTCCATTTTCAATTCTGAGTGCTTTAGTGTAAGTTTAAGCAGGCTTCATGGAAATAAAGAAATAAAGAAGCAGAATGTACGGAGCCACGAGCCACCTCCTCCCTTCTTCCTGCTTTTCCTGTCACCCAGCAGCCAGGCGCCTATCAGTTGGCTGCCCCCCTTAACTACCCCTTCCCCACCCCACGAAAGAATTTAGTTTAGGCTAGCTTGCAACATAGATAATTGTACCCTTTCTTTTTTTTTTTTTGAGACGGGGTCTCGCTCTGTCGCCCAGGCTGGAGTGCAGTGGCGCGGTCTCGGCTCAGTGCAAGCTCCGCCTCCCGGGTTCACGCCATTCTCCTGCCTCAGCCTCCCCAGTAGCTGGGACTACAGGCGCCCGCCACCACGCTTGCTAATTTTTTTGTATTTTTAGTAGAGACGGGGGTTTCACTGTGTTAGCCAGGATAGTCTCAATCTCCTGACCTTGTGATCCGCCCGCCTCGGCCTCCCAAAGTGCTGGGATTACAGGCTTGAGCCACCTCGCCCAGCCAATTGTACCTTTTCTTATCAGCTAAGTGTAGACATTAGGGCCATAAGTCAAATGTTTAAAGAGTCCTGAGACAGTCACAATGCATTATGGGCTGCAATAAAGTGCACCAAAAAGACCCTAAATAACATACTTGAAGCCTTAATCCAACTACCAATAGACAACGTCCAGGAAAATTGTAACCCCATAGTATTCAGCCAATGACGAACTGGGGGAGGAACTTGCACACTAGGGCATAAATTCCTTGTTGAAACCGTTTGCAAGACTGCCATTAAAGTCTCGCTTCTGCTGTTCTCTGTGTCTCTGAGTGTATTCTTTGGGTTTGGATGGGTGAGTTTGTTTCTCACGTGACCTATATCATTTTCCTTCTCTGTGAATAATTTCTTTTAACCTTTCTTGCAAGGCAGATGTACTGGCAAAATCGTCCCTAAATTTTTGCTTGTCTGGGAAGTCTTTATTTCTTCTTTGCTTTTGAAGGGTAATGTGTAGGGTACAGAATTCTACCTTGGTGTTCTTTTTCTCTGACACTTAAAATATTTGACTTCACTGCCTTCTTGCTGTATGGTGTCTGTGGAAAAGTTGGTTGTACGTAATTCTGATCTTTGCTCCCCTAGAGGTTAAGGTATTTTTCCCCTGTGTCTTTCAATATTTTCTCTTTACCTTTTATTTTCTGAAGTTTGACTAATGTGTCTTTTTTTTTTTTTTTTTGAGACAGTCTTCATATAACCCGAGGCAGATGCCCAGGCTGTTGCCCAGGCTGGAGTGCAATGATGCGATCTCGGCTCACTGCAACCTCCGCCGCCTGGGTTCAAGGAATTCTCCTGTCTCAGCTTCCCAAGTGGCTAGTATTACGAGCGTGTGCCACCACTCCCGGCTAATGTTTGTATTTTTAGTAGAGACGGGGTTTTGCCATGTTGCGAACTCCTGACCTCAAGTGATCCACCCGCCTCATCCTCTCAAAGTGCTGACTAATGTGTCTTGATGCGGTTTTTTTGGGGGGGACATTTATCCTGCTTGGTACTCTCTGAGCTTACCATCTGAGGTTTGGTGTTTGATAGTAACTTGAATTAAATTTTCAGTTACTGCTTCAAATATTTCTTCTATTCCTTTCTCTATTTCTATCTACTTCTTCTAGTGTTCCCATTACACATAGTTAAACCTTTCACAGTCATCCCATACTTGGTGGATATTCAGCTCTTTTGTTTTGGTCCTTTCTTTCTCTTTGCTTCTCAGTTTTGGAAGTTTCTATTGCCATATACTCAAGTGCAAATTGTTTCTTCATCCATGGCCAGTCTACTAATGACACTATCAAAAGCATTCTTCGTTTCTGTTTCTGTGTTTCTCTCTGGTGTTTCCTTTTGACTCTTTCTTAGAATTTCCATGCGCCTAGTAACATCACTCATTTGTTTTTGCATGCTGCTTGCTTTGTCCATTAGAGCCCTTAACAGAGTATTCATAGTTGTTTTAAGTACCCAGTTTGAGAATTCCAAAATCCCTTTGATATTTGAGTCTGGTTCAAATGTTCGCTCTGTCTCTTCAAACTGTGTTTTTCTCATTTTAGGATGCTTTGCCGTATTTTCTGATAGGTGTACATGATATAATGGGTTTCTTAAAAACTGCAGCTAATAAGCCTGTGGTTGTGTGATGGTGGGTAAGCACTGTAGAGCTCTATGAGTAGGTCTTAGTCTTTTAGCAAGATTGGGCCTTTGCACTATGAACTTCACAGGTATGTTTTGGTCACCCTGCTTCCCTTAAGTGGGACAGGATGGCTAGCATGGGCTGAAATTGGGTACTTCCTTTCTCCCAGATATGAAAAATCCAGTAGGCTGGGCTCTGGTTATATGGTTTCTCCTGGCTAGGATGAACAGGATGCTCTAGTGTATTTCAAGTGGTTTCTGTCCCCCTGCCCCTGCCAGCAGCATAAGAAGATTTTTCTCTGATCCTCACTGTGAAAGCTTCTCAGAGGTCCTGGAGCTATGACTCACAAAAGTGTCGGATCCCTGAATGACTGGGTCCCCCTGGTGTTTTTCACTCTCAGACTTGTTCACACTGAGCCTGCAGCCATGTGCCAGTTACCATTTCGGTTTCCCCGCCCTGCCCCTGGTTGTGTGGGGGTTCTGCTCTGGTCAGCTGTCAATCTCTGTATCTGCCCGTAGGTCTCTCCAACGTGGGGCAGTGCTTTGCCCTGTGGCCTTGTTTCTCTGACAGTAAGAAGCATTGTTGATTTTTCGGTTTGTTCAGCTTTTGACTTTTTATTAGAAAGGAGTGATGATTTCCAAACACTTACATGAAAGACCAGACTTTTCTGATTTTAGTATATTAATGAGAAAATATTTAATATTAATAAGGCTCTTCATTACTTGTAGTGAGTCAAGATTATATAATGAAATGAATCCTGTGTCAGCTTTTTCATGTAAAATAAACATATTACAAGGGAAGGGGTACTGGACTATATTTATTATAATGGGTAGAATAAAACTCATATATATATATTAAACCACCATATATTAAACTATAGGTCAAACTGATATATTTGTGATAATTTCTAAATATTTAATAAGATCTTGTAAGTCAAAATATTATTCTCGTATTTAAAATTTTTTTAATGTCGTCTATCTTTAGGACACATTAACAAAAGAAAACTAATAGAATTTTAAAGTATCTATGAACTCTTATTTTATCCCTAAATATTTTATATTCAGACTAAAAGACCAGACTGTGGGTTACATTTTTAAAATACTTTTTCCTCTGAGCTGAGAGTTATTAGTAGGCAGTAAATTCCAAAGTTCTGTTGTTAAATATTCTTAACCATAGGTACTGATAACTGTGATTAAAGACTTATTGATGTTTTACCTTGAATATAATGGAAATGTTTTAATTTGTTAAAAATTCTTAGGAAATCTATTTATTTTATAAATAAAAAATCAGATAATTCAGGAAAATCTTGTTGTCCTATAAATCGAACTAAGAGAAACTTGGTTGTAGGTTGAATTCTTTCTTTTTTACTTCCTTATACAAATTTTAAGTGTGCTGTGTGCTGCACAACGCCAGGGCATATTATTCCGACACACTACAAGGTGGTTGGCACCGCCTGGATTTACGCCCTGGAGCAGTCTTGTGTGAGCATTAAAATGTGTGCATGCATTTAAGAGGTGTTCCATTAATCCTATTTTTCCATTAACCACAGTCAGTATTATCAGAGTAAAAAGAAGAGAAAGCATTAGAGAATCATTGTGGATTGTATTCTATTTATTTCCATTGGAATTCTATGAAAAGAGAGAATGTCATGCTAAATGAGTTTGGAGTTTGTCTTCAACCTTTTATTTATTTCTCTCATCTTTTCTGGCAGTCCTCAGGAAGATGAACAGTGTTAATTTAATTATCTTTTAAGCTGCTCTAGACTGTCATTACATGCATCCTGATATCTGTGAGCGAATGATTGAGTAGTTCTATTATTGAAACTATTAGATTTAGAGAGTTTATTGATTTGAGTCTTGGAACGAAAATGGTCAGTATACCGGTTTGATATTTTAAGTCATTTAAATTCAAAAATTCCTAGAGATAGTAAAGATGGAGGTTCTGCTTTCAAATTAAAGCTCTTAATAGCTACACAGTTTCCAAAAGCTCAAGCTTTCTTTTCTTGGACCTTGGAAGATAATATTAGAAGATCAATCTGTGCATAGGATTACTAAACACACATAGAGAGGCTTATTGACATCAACACTATAAAATGAATACCTCTAGTTTGACATAATTTGAGTCTTGAGAAATTGTGCCTTGTGGTAATTAACTTCTTTACTTGAATCATCTTGCTAATATTGTACTCAGCCTAATAAAATTGGTGTATTCTCCAGTTAGGCTTAAAATTGATCATCAAACCATCACTAGTAGAAAGAATTGATGATTTTCAAAAAAATCAATCATCATTTATTGAATGTCTACAACAAGCAGGGAACTCTTGTCAGAAGCGTCTAGCTTTGCTGAAAATCAGGTTATCTTTATAAATGATTCTGAAAGATTTAAAGTGGAATTAAATTTGAATTGCTAATTTCCATTCAAAATGGAAATGACATTCAGCTTGGCAGTGCTGGACACCTGGCCCTTGTGTTTAGGAAATGTACCAAGTCAAACCAACTGGAGATGGGGCAGAGCAGAATGCTGTGCTGGAGGAGGCCCAAGTAGAATGAGTGTTATCAGTTTTTAATTGATGGAGCTCTGGTGGTCTGAATTCCTCTAAGCCCTGGAAGAGTTTTAACCATTTTAACACTGCCCATATGCCAGCAGACTGCAGCATCCAACTGGCAGGATCAGGCATTTAGGTTGGTTAGTGTAGAGGCCTGCAGGCCCACAACGACTTCAGGGACCACCCTAGGAGCCAGTTAGGAACGAAAGTGCAGGAAACAGACGTCTTCGTGCATATAAATATCCCGGTGGATGCTTGGACAGCGCAAGGAGGGACTCTATGCTGGTGTTACTCATTCTCAATAACTTGGAAAATTCCTAAACACGTAAGAAGAGGTTTGGGCTTTTAATCACAAATTTGCATCTCTCCAGGGAAACCATGATCACATTATTCGAAGTAAGGGTCCCTTGAAAAGATGTTGCAAAAATGGATTTGCCTCACAAATAGTGCTTTAGTCTAGGAAAGTCATAGTCACCTCCAGATGGCACTCAGTCCTCATACCTTTTTTTGGCTCTGGCTTCATTCATGTTTGGTGCCACGACTGGTTCCTGATCCCAAATGTTGTCTTTGGGTATCTGCTGGGTAGGAGCTGCACATCGTGACAACATATCTGTGGGAGGAAATGTTACTTCTTTGATGTCTCTGAATAAGAAAATCCAGGAGAAAATGTCAATGGAATTTTCAGAGGAGAGAAAGAAAAAAGCTGAATGGAGGCTGGGTAGCCCCTCTCCCTATAGCATTGAAGTCTCCTATTTTCTTGTTTCTTAAGCTGATTTCCAAAGACCTACATTACTTGCTTTGCCCAATTTCCTCCCCAACTCACTCTTTAAAGTGGAGCTCATTGTTTTTGAGATAATCTGGAACATGTGACCCTTTTTAATATGACATGAAATTCCTTGTAGTGAAGAACCAAGAAAAGGGAACTTTTTTGCGACCTCAGGGCTACTTGTTTTTTGTTTTTTGTTTTTTTTTTTTTTGAGACAGAGTCTTGCTCTGTGGCCCAGGCTGGAGTGCAGTGGCGCAATCTCGACTCACTGGAAGCTCCACCTCCCTGGTTCACGCCATTCTCCTGCCTCAGCCTCCCAAATAGCTGGGACTACAGGCACCCGCCACCACGCCAGGCTAATTTTTTGTATTTTTAGTAGAGATGGGGTTCCACCGTGATAGCCAGGATGGTCTCGATCTCCTGACCTCGTGATCTGCCCGCTTTGGCCTCCCAGAGTGCTGGGATTACAGGCGTGAGCCACTGCGCCTGGCCTACTTGTTTTCTTATGAGAAAGTTAGAGAAGCAAATGCTTAGAGATGGGGTCGGGGAGCAGCAATTTCAGTCGTAGGTGGCAATGCTGCACCAAAGGGCAGACAATCAGCACCATCTCAAAAGCAATCTACTGGTTTAATTCCATTACCAATTGTCAGTTACTTCTTCGTTTGTGGGCTCCCAGAATGTTATGATATATCCATTCTCAACCTAAATTATTTTAGGAAAAATGTCTTTTATTTAAATGAAAACTGATGTACTATAGGTGGATCACAGAGTATTTTTAGGGCAGTGAAACTCTTCTGTATGATACTACAATGGTGGACACATGTCATTATGCCTCTGTGCAAACCCATAGGATGTACAACACCAAGAGTCAGCCTTGGTGTGCACAGTCGACCTTGGATGTGTCACGGTAGGCTCATTGACTGCGACACGTGCACCACGGTGGCAGATGTGGATAGTGGGGGGAGGTTGTGCATGTGTGGGGGAAGGGAGTAGATGGGAAATACTTGTACCTTCCTCTTAATTTTTCTGTGAAGAAAACAAAAAACAGTGACCATTGTAAAATGGCAGAGACTAAAACAAAGTATTAAACAGGCGGTTACAGGTCATATTCCCAAGGACACGAAACAAGATGGAGGCCTGTATCCAAGTTTGTTACTGACCATTTTGTTGGGCTGGCTTGAATAGCAGGCTTATGGGGTTCTGACTCTGCATGCTAACCTAAGGTACCCTTTTTTTTGACAGAACTATGCAGAAAGTCACACAATACACACCAGATTGGCTACAGCTTAAGACCAACCTCACAAATCCTTTTTCATTAATTAAAACTTAATAGAGAATATAAACAATGATCCTTATTATCCCTTTTACCAGATTGCACAGGGAGAGAGAAGACAAAAGCCTGACTGGTAAGAAATTTTTACCATTTTGCTGGCATGTCAGGCTTCTGGGTTCCCTTTCCTCTAAACCAAGCATTTTAAGGTTTCGAAAATTAACTTTTTCCAGATTGGAAGAACATTGTAAAAGAAGATAGAAGCATTTGAAACTATGAAAGAAGGAAAAATACCAGAGAAAAGTCCGGGGGGGGGGGTTCCAATTAGAGTTGTCAAGAGGTACTACTTCGCTTCCTATCAGCAGTGGTGTTTCCCCTATTTCTTCACCTTCCCGATTTTCTCTTTTCCCTTTTTGCCTATTATAGGAGACATACTGCTCATCTCCGAAATCCTCTGCAGCCTGCAGGACTGCCTGTTTTTCACCTGCAGTTAGAGTTTGGCTTAGAAGCAGCAAAAATCCCTTCATGGGAGGTCAAACACCTGATTTAAATTTTGGAAAGCTTCTATATAAATATCAGGGTCATTAGAAAATCAGCCTAAGTCTCCCTTTATTTCCCTAAGGTCCTGTAATGAGAAGGGAACTTGAGGGAGCCCAAACTAAGGGAGATCCTCAAATGATTCCCCTGGAAGTTGCTTCTCTAACTTTGCAGAATCATTCTTTATAGGCTTTTGATATGACTATGAAAAGTGGTGGGTTGATTTTGTAATGCCTGCGAAGTTCTAGTAAGGAGGCCGGGCCTTTGTACCAAAGCAAATGAGCCACTTTTTCTTTAAAGTTTCAGAGTCAAAGGAGTCCTCATGCTTCAGAATGCCCTCCAGAGGGATGCAAGCCGAAGATGATACGTTACCCCTCTAGAAAGAGAAGTGATAAAAAGTCATCCCTTTAGTCTCTTTCCTTTTGGTGTGACTCAGGGCAGAGGGGAAGACAGTGGGGGCATCCCCGCTGCTGCTTTCCCTCCATGGTTTCTGGGTCCAGGCACCTTGTTGAATGTACCACCTGTGGTTGCAGGAATGACCCCCAACCATTGAACCAGAGGAACTAAGCAACTGGGATTAGTCAAGCTCACCCAAGTGACTCTAGTCCTCTGTCTGTGATTTCCCTTTGACTTCCTGGACTTTTGTGACCTGGGTGGCTTCCTGTAAAATGGATCTCAAAAAAACTATGTAATAGTTGACCAGGCCCCTTTAATGGAGGGGGCATGGCAGATTGAACTCTATATCCTGCTATTATGGCTCGTGTTAAAGCATTTACCCTTAGAGAATGGTTCTGGTTAACTTCCTGACTTAGAATCCACTTATTTATTAAGTGCCATTCTCATTGGAGGCTGAATTGGTACCCTAAAAGAATATTGGAACAAAATAACCATTTTCCTGCTGATGTTACAGTGTCAAGACTAAAATTTGGCTTCGGAGTATATTTTACTCCTAATTGTTGAAGGCAGAATTTTCCCATTCAGAGAAGCAGCATGAAGTCTGGTTTCTAGTAGAGAGATGCAAAAGGGGAAGATAATTGGGAAGCTAGGTGTTTTGGTAATGGACCAACAATGTGCCTCATGGAGAGGGTCGCTAGTCCACTAGGTGGCGCTGTTGACCTTGAAATGCCATGTGCGCTCCGGAACAAGGGCAGAGTGACCTTGACATGCCATGTGCTCTTCAGACCAAGAGCAGAGAGACCTGCGAATGCCATGTGCTCTCCAGACCAAGGGCGGAGAGTGACACTCACTGTGTTGGGGGTTTGGGTACCCTCTGTTCCTAGAAAATCACAAAGACTCCTTCCCTTGACCTATATCTCTGGTTACTACAACGTTCCCTGATCTTGCCAAAAGAGATTACTTCCCTGAACTGTAAAACTTCCCGACACAGAGAGGATAGGAGGTATTGTGATTGCAGACAGGAAAGGAGGAAATTACCATAGAAAAATTGGAGATCCAGGGGGCTCTTTGCTAGAAAGGAAAATGATTTGGGACTGCTTTTCATTAAAAGGAAGCACTTGCTGAGGATTTCTATACCCTCACTATCTGCCTAAGTAATTTCTTCTTAACTCCTGTATCAGTAAGATGCACATTGTTTTGGTCCAGAAAGATGGGGCAAATCAAAGCGGGGAAGCTTACTGGTCAAAGTTGGATTCAAAGATTGTCTGATTGTCAGTTGATTGAAAGTTTATATAAAGACCTGGAACCAATAGAAGGGAGTGGCTGGGTTAAGGTAAGGGGTGTTGGAGACCAACATTCTTATTATGTAGATGAAGCTTCCAGGTAGCAGGCTTCAGAGAGAATAGATTGTAAATGTTTCTTATCAGACTTAACAAGGTACCAGACTTTTAGTTAATTCTCTCCTGGATAAGGAAAAAGGCCTGGAAAGGGAAGGAGATTCTCTACAGAATGTTGACTTTCCCCACAAGAGACAGCTTTGCTGGGACATTTCATTTTGTTATAGTCATTTAAAACTCCTTTGTAAATTCTAACACATCTGCCACTTCTGCTTCTGTTTCTATTGATTGACTTTTCTCCCTCTCATGAGTATGGATCATATTTCTCTGCTTCTACTTTTGTTTAATAAATACTGGTTTACTATCAGACATTCTGATTTTTTTGGTTGTCGATTGCGTGACTCTTTTTTCTTTTAAAGATTTTTGGTAGGGAGTTACATTTTTGGTTAGCTTTATCCTTTTGAGAGTTGTTACCAAATTTTGTTAGGGTAGACTTGAGTTCCTTGGTAGTTCCTTTTTCTGGACTCATGGAATATTTCCTTATGCATGTGCAGCTTGATGTCAGGAAAGACACAAGGAGGTCTCTGAAGATTTCTAGAGCTTCTTTTCTGTGTAGCTCCTTTTTCTCCAAAAATCTGCCCCACAATTGACAGCCATCACAGCCTCTCTGAACTGAGATTTATTATCTTGTCTACTCAGCAAGTCCAGTGATCTCTGCTTGGGACCATTACCCTTCACCGTAGTTGAAAATGTGTCTTCAGGCTAAAAGGGATCGCAATATTGTGTGTGTCAGGGATGGGGGGTGGTGGTTTACAGTCCTGCACTGCATGTTTCTCAATGTCTACAAACAAGCATTTTATTTATTTTGGGCAGTTTTTCAAATACTCAGGGCAGAAGAATAAGCCTACTTCTGATTGCTCCATTATGATTAGATGTGGAACAAGTAGATTTTATATATTTATTTTTTCATCAATTTCTGAATTGATGTTAGTTTTGAAATTTTTCTGTAGATACTGTTGTGATTTTTCAAAAAAATTATACACATAATGACACTTTTGATATTTTATTCATGATTCTTATATCTACACATTTATTTATTTAACTTTGGTGTTACTGAAATGCTAGTCCTCAAATTAATTTGAACAGAAGTGCTAATATTGTGCATTGTTTCTTATGATTTTAAAGGAAGCCATCTACTATTTCACCATTTCATATGCTTTTTTTTTGGTAGAAATTACCTATGTGTAGTTAGTAAATAAACTCTCCTGTATTTCTAGTTTATTTAAAATACAAGTCATATTGAAACAATGAATGGAGCTGAACTTTATAAAAGTTTTCTGCATTTATTGAGAGGCCATATGTATTATGATTAACAGCATGAGTTATGGATGTAAACTGCTTGTTTCAAATTTTGGCTTTGTCTGTTACTAACTGTATGACCTTGAGCAAGTTACTTAATCCCTAGGTGCTCCAATTTTCTTATATGTTGTATTAAAATACAAATTGATGTGAATATTAGGAAAATTAATTTAGATAATATATGCATATAATAATATATGATATGTTTAATATATAATTGTGCATAATTTAATTCTAACAATAATTCTGTGAGATCTATGGCACTGGGGTGGAGGGATATTCAGGCTCAGATTGAACTGCAGCCCATTCAGTATGATGCGGGCTGTAGGTTTGTCATATATGGCTTTTGTTATTTTGAGATATGTTTCTTCAATGTCTGCATTTTTATGGTTGTTTTTATCCTGAATGGAGGTTAGATTCTATCAAATACATTTTCTGCATTTATTGAGATAATCATGTGGTTTTTGTTTTAAATTTTGTTTATGATGTGGTGAATTCATTTATTGTTTTGTATATGTTGAGCCATCCTTGCATTCCTAGGATAAATTTCACTTGATCATGGTATATTATCTCTTTGATGTGGTGTTGGATTTTGTTTGCTAGTATTTTATTGAAGATTTTTGCATATATATTCATGAGGAATATTTGTCTATTTCGTTCTTTAATTGTGCCCTCGTCTAATTTTGATAGCAGAGTAAGACTGGTATCAAAGAATAAGGTAGGGGATTCCCTCCTGCTTGATCTTTTGGAATAGTTTCAGTAGGATTGGTACCAACTCACTTTTGTATGTCTAGAAAAATTTGGCTGTGATTCTGTCTAGTGGGTTTTTTTGTTGCTGGAAGATTTTTTACAATGGCTTTAATTTCTTTACTTGTTATTGGTCTATTAGAGGGTTTGTTTGTTTTTGTTTGTTTGTTTGTTTGTTTTCCTGGTTCAGTCTTGGGAGGTTGTATGTTTCCAGGAGTTTATCCATGTCCTCTAGGTTTCCCAGTGTGTGCACATGAGGATGTTTGTAGCATATTCTGATGATCTTTTATATTTCTGTGGTATCAGGTGTTATGCCCCCTTTATTATTTCTAATTGTGCTTATTTGAATCTTCTCTCTTTTTTTCTTGGTTAATCTAGCTGTTGGGATATCAATTTTGTTTATCTTTTCAAAGAACCAATATTTTATTTCATTGATCCTTTGTCCCTTATTTTTTGGTCTCTATCTATTTTAGTTCTGCTCTAATGTTTCCAGCTTTGAGTTTGGTTTGTTCTTGTTTTTCTAGTTGTGGAAATGTGATGTTAGGTAGTTAATCTGAGATCTTTCTACCTTTTTGATAGAGGCGTTTAACACTATAAACTTTCCTCTTAGCACTGTTTTTGCTGTGTCCTAGAGGGTTTGGTATATCTCTATTTTCATTCATTTCAAACTTTTTTTTGACTACTGCCTTAATTTTGTCACTTACCCAAAAATTCTTCAGGAGAAAGTTGTTTATTTCCTATGTGTTTGTATAGGTTTGAGAGTTTCTCTTGGTATTGATTTCTAATTTTATTCCATTGTAGTCTGAGAAGATACTTGATAGGACTTTGATTTCTTTTGAGTTTTTTGAGACTTGGTTTATGGCTAAGCATATGGTCTATTTTGGAGAATGTCTCAAAAATGTATATTTATTGCTTTAAATAAAATAATCTGTAAATATCTGGTAGGTCCGTTTGGTCTAGAGTGCAGTTTAAGCCCAGAGATTCTTGGTTGATGATCTGTCTAGTGCTATGACTGGGATGCTGAAATTCCACAGTATTATTGTATTGCTGTCTGTCTCTTTTCTTAGGTCTAGTAATATTTGTTTAATGAATCTGAGTGCTCCAGTGTTGGGTGCATACATATTTAGAATAGTTATATCTTCTTGTTGAATCAAACCTCTTATCACTGTATAATAACCTTTGTCTTTTTTGTTTTTACTGTTGTTATTTTACAGTCCGTTTTATCTAATATAAGCATGGCAACTCCTGTTCATTTTTGTTTTCTGTTTTCGTAGCATGCCTTTTTTTTCACCTCTTTACTTTGAGTCTGTGACTGTCTACCCATTGGGTGGGTCTGTTGTAGGCAGCTTGCTGTAATTTCTAAAGATTCCTTTTCTTTTTCTCTTTTCTTTTCTTCTTTTCTTTTTTGAGATGGATTTCCTTCTTGTTGCCCAGGCTGGAATGCAATAGTGTGGTCTTGGCTCACTACAACCTCACTGCAACCTCCACCTCCTGGGTTCAAGCTATTCTCCTGCCTCAGCCTCCCAATTAGCCAGGATTACAGGCGCCTGACAACATGCCTGGCTAATTTTTGTATTTTTAGTAGAGATGGGGTTTCACCATATTGGCCAGAGTTGTCTCGAACTCTTGACCTCAGATGATCCACCCGCCTCGGCTTCTCAAAGTGCTGGGATTACAGGTGTGAGCCTTCATGCCCCGCCGAAGACCCATTTTCATGTCACTATTTTTCTCTTAATTTGGCTTCTAAAAAATTTCATCAAATACATATTCAACTTGCCTGGATATTTATATTTGAACTCTTTTCTAAATTCTTTGAATTATCTTTTTATTAAACTTAAACATGTAAATCAATATAATATCAAATATAAAATAACTATGTTTATAAGGCTTAACTTTATAAACATAGTTATTTCATATTTGATAATTGGAAATCCCATTAGCTGTAGTGTTTGGGTGCTATACTTTTTACTTTTGTTTCTGTTGCCTTTAAATCTGAAAGAGGTGTATACTATTTGAATTTTGAGCTTTATCATATGAAGGGTGTGGTAGAGAGTGCTTTCCTTCAAAAGCTTTTGAGTTTGTTTCTTCAGGTTGTCCTAGAGGGCTATTAATTCAGAAGCACTTTATTTCTTGATCTTGGAATCCTGGATAATTCTGGTAGTATAAGTTTCACCCCCAGGTGAGGTCTTAGCAGTATTTTAAATATCTAAGAAATGTTTTATTTCCCTACTTCACTCAAGGTTGAGATGGACTTAGTTAGATTTTCTCTTCTATTCATTGGAGAAAACAATTTTTTCTGGCTCATTTATTTTCGTATGTGTTTGGTTCCGACTATATATGACCTACACACTTGTACAGAAACAAGTGTTTACCTGCCATCCCCACTTGGATATATGGATATTAAAATCCTGAGTCCTGAGTCCTAGCATCAGCAGGCACTCACAAGGTGCATGTGATAGGGGTGTGTCCTTATCAATCTGGTCTGTGCATCCCCTGGGGAGAGCAACTTCTTATAAGCTCAAGTATGTTCATAAGAAATTGCTCATCCTCAATTGTAAGGATGTTTAATGTATTTTATTTAGCCTTTGTAGTAGGTTCTAGTAGTTTCTTTTTTCTAAGTCTATACATATTTGAAAGCACAGTGTCTGGCAGTACCTTTAAATATAATGTCAATGGGAGCAGAATCCTTTTTGCTTACTTCCATATCCCAAAACGTATCATATTGCCTGTCACTTAAAAAATTAAACCTTTTATTTTGAGATAACTATAGATTGGCATGCCATCTTAAGAAATAATCCAGAGAGATTTCATGTACTCTTTACTCAGGTGGGAACATCTTGCAAAATCATAATACAATATCACAACCAATTGACATTAATACATTCCATTAATCTTTTTGTGTTTGTTTAGTTCTATGCATTTTTATTGTGCATCTAGGATGATCTTTCCACTAAAATTAAGACACAGAAAAATTCCAACACCACAAGGATCCTTCATGTTGTCTTTATAGCCACATGCACCTCCATCCTTTCCTACTCTCTCCCCTGTTCCATTACAAACCCTTGGCAACCACTAACATGTTCTCCATTTTCATAATTTTTGTCATTTCAAGAATGTCATATAGATAAAATCATGTAATATGTGGCCTTTTGGATTAGACATTTTCATTCCACATGTTTCTCTGAGACTCATTCACATTAATGTGTGTACCATTAGGGTGTTTCTTTTCATTGTTGAGTAATATTCCATGAAATGAATGTAATCGTTTGTTTAACTATTAATTATTGATATGTTAGTGCTTAACGTCTGCCATTTTCTCATTTTCTTTCTGTTTCAGGAGTTTCATTGAGCTATTCCTTAATGCAAGTTCTGCTAGTGACAAATTATTTGCTTTACTTAGTTTGAGAATGTCTTTATTGCTCCTACATGCCTAAAGGAAAAACAGTTTTCTCAGCTACACAGCTTTCAGTTGACAGCTTTTTTGGTTTCCACGTTTGAAAACTGTTGTGCTACTTCCTTGTGGTCTCCAGGCTTTCAGATGAAAATTCTGCTGTCATCCATATTGGTGAACTCCTATAGGAAATGTATCTCTTTGCTCTAACTGCTTTCAAGATTTATCTGCGGAATGTCTTGTGGGCTGTGGTTACAGTATCACTTTAGTTTGCAGAACCTCCATGGTGCTATTTCATCTGTTTGGTTTATCTAGTCTACTGGGACTCCCACTGGTCCCTGTAGGTGCTGCCTGAGGCAGCGGAAGGACATTCCCCAGGCCAGGCCTCCAGGTGCCACCAGGTGGAGTAGAGAAACTGGTGATGAAGTGATCTTTCTCCATTTGGGCTGCTGTGGCTGGAGAATCCTCTTTGTCAGTGATGACTGGCTTCTCAGTGTCTCTTGGTGAAGCAGGGAAGTATCTCTCCCTGCAGACAAAGGAACTATGGCACTATGGTGATTTTATGACTTCTTAGGAATTAGGCATGCACACACACACACACACACACATACAAACACACACACAAACACACACACATATCTCAGAGAGTGAAAAAATAAATGATGCTTTAGTGATATTCATGGCAGCCAGGGCAACTGACAGCTAGGTACTAGAAAGAGGAAACAGCCGTCCACTGCTAGTTTTTTGTCAGGGGGCTTCTGATTCATCTCCTTGACAAAAGTGCCAGCTTGCCTGCTTGTACTGATTAGAAGGTTTTATCCCTGAAGGAAGGAGCAGCCCTGGACCTCCTTCTGTTTTCAGGTTGGGATCAGAAATGCCAAGCCTGATGACTGTCTTCTGGTGGGTAGGAGGTCCCTGGACATTCTGCTGCTTTGTGTTCTGTTCTCCTGGTCCTGGGCTCCTCACCAGTTCTTCCTCTTTCTACCTTCAGAGTTCCCCTTTGGTTGCTTCTTGCATTATTTCCAGGGTTTCTGATTGTGTTTAGAAAGGAAGATAGGGGAAAACAGTTTTGGCCTCCTTGTTCTTGTTCTCATAGTTTTGAGGTGAGGGAGTGGCTCTTGAGCTTTAGCTCACCTGACTTAACACATCTTCAGAAGCAGAAGTCAAGGCCATGTGGTTTCACTATTCTCAATGTTTATGCAAGTTTAATGTAGATGCTTTGGCAACATTGCCAGAAAGCCTTCCTGTACTGGGCTCCTCAGCCCCAAATTTCTTGAAGGAACTCATTTCTAATATTCTAGCTCTTAATTGTCTGGGCTGCCATAAATCTCAATAATATAATGTTTGTGGATTCTCCACTCTTATTGAATATGTATACATATATTATTTTTATGACATGCAATACGTTGTCACAACATTTACCATAGCGTTATTAACTTTGGAAGATAGACGAGAGGTTCCTTTTAATGTCGCATAGCCCCTTTTTCTTTCTTCTTTCTGTGAAGTTGCTGCTTTGTCTTTTATTTATTTGTGTCTTACATCCCATGCACCTTTTTCTCTGCTAAGATAATCTCCTGGAAACCTCTCTCTATATAACTTTCAGTTTCAAAGCTTAGTTAATGCTCCATGTGGTCAAATGCTTAATTTCATTTAAAGTACCTATTAGAAAAATATTCAAACGATTTAAGATAATTATTTTTGTATAACTGATACTGAAATTACATATGTGTGTAATTTGTTCATTCAAAATATCCCCTAATGTCCTCTCCAATTTCCAATTAAATGAAAAAATTAAAGCTATGTCATATGAGTTACAAATACTTTAATTGGTCCTTTCCGCTGATTTCTCCTTTGGTTCTAATTAAAAACTTAGAGTAGTTTACTCTTTCCCACTGGTTTCTGTCTTCCTTCTAATTAAAAAAATAGAAGAGTTAAAAAAATTAAGCTTTTTGTGTTTGGTAGATTGAATCTCTGAATATTTGTTATGAGTCTGTTTGTTCACCAGATACTATGGTTTGTGAACATAAAAAGGGACAGATAGCCCAGTGGAACAGAATAGAGAGCCCAGAAATAAATGTAAACAGAAACAGTCAAGTAATTTTTGATTAAGGGCACTAAGAGGACACAATGGGGAAAGGACAGTCTCTTCTGTAAATGGTGCTGGGAAAACTGGATTCCACATGCAAAAGAATGAAATTGGACACTTATCTTGCACCAAACACAAAAATCAGTTCAAAATGGATAAAATATCTAAATGTGGGACAAGAAACTGTACAACCCATAGAAGAGAACACAAGGGAAAGTTCCTGGACACTGGCTTTGGCAATGATTTTTTTTAATTATTATACCAAAAACTCAGACCACAAAAGCAAAAATAAATAAAGTGGGCCTTCATCCAACTAAAAATCTTATGCAGAGCAAAGGAAACAACAAAGTGAAACAGTAAACTGTGGATTGGGGAAAAATATTTGCAAACTCTTTATCAGATAAGGGGTCAATATCCAAAGTTTTATAATTTTATAAAAAACTTACACAACTCAATAGTGGAAAAAGAAATAACCTAACTGAAAAGTAGGCAAAAAATCTGAACAGATGTTTCTCAGAAGAAGACACAGAAATGGCCAAAAGGCATATGAGCACATGCTCAACATCATTAATCAACAGGAAATGTAAGTCAAAATCATAATAAGATAGTACCTTATACTCGTTAGGATGGCTAGTATCAGAAAGTCAAAAGATAAATGTTGGCAAGGGTGTGGAGAAATGAGAATTCTTGTACACTGCTGGTGGGAATGTAGATTGGTACAGTCATTATGGAAAATAGTATGGAGGTTGCTAAAGAAACTAAAAATAGTCCTACAATATGACCCAGCATCCAACCTTCTGGGAATATACTCAAAGGAAATGAAATCACCACCTCATAAAGGCATTTGCACTCCCATGTTCATTGAAGCAGCATTCACAATAACCAAAATATGTAAACAACCTAAGTGTCCATTGAGGGATGAATGGATAAAGAAGCTGTAGTACATATACACAATGGAATATTATTTGGCCCTGAAAAAGAACAAGATCTCACCATTTGCCACAACATGGGTTAGCCTAGGAGATATGCTATGTCAAATGAGCCAGACACATAAAGAAAATGGTTGCATGATCTCATTTATATGTGGAATTAAATATATATTATATATATATATACATACATACATACATACATACATACATACATACACAGAAATAGAGAGCAAAACAGTGGCTACCAGAGGCAGGGGAAAAGAGGGGAGATGTAGCTCAAAGGACACAAAATGGCAGCTGTAGGATGAATGACTCTCAAGATCTAAGGCACAGCATGAGGAATATAAGTTGTAAAACTGTACTGTATATAGGATTCATGCTAAATAAGGAGCTTTTAGCTGTTCTAGCCATCAAAAAAGGTAACTATGTGACACAATAGATAATATTAATTTGCCTAATTTTAGTAACTGTTTTCTCTCCATGTGAATCTCGTAACATTATGTTGTATATCAGGGGTCCCCAACCCCCAGTTCATGGCCTGTTAGGAATGGGGTCACACAGCAGGAGGTGAGTTGCAGGCTAGCAACCATTATGGCCTGAGCTCCACCTCCTGTCAGATAAGTGGGGGCATTAGGTTCACCTAAGAGCACAACCCCTATTGTGAACTGTGCATGCAAGGGATCTAGGTTGTGTGCTCCTTATGAGAATCTAATGCCTGATGATCTGAGGTGGAACAGTTTCATCCTGTAACCATCCTGCCCCCGCACACCCCCCTCACCCCTTGCCACTCCACAGCGATCCATGGAAAAAACTGTCTTCCATGAAACAAGTCCCTGGTGCCAGAAAGGTTGGGGACCGCTGTCGTATAACTTAAATATACATGATACAACTTACTTAAAAAAAATCATGTCAATTAAAAAATTTTACCTGGACCTTCCCACTGATTTCTCCTTCTTTTCTAATAAAAATTTGGAGTAGCTTACTCTGTCCTACTCATTTCTCTTTTCTTTGTCATGATAAAAACAGAATATCTTTAAAAAATCAAGCTTTTTGTGTTTTGCCTGTTGAATCTCTGGCTATTTGGCACAATTGTCTTTTTCATTCTCCAGATTCTATGGTGTTGTGCACAGAACATTATAGTTTCCAGCTGGAGCCTTCACTCTAGTATAGCCAGTCCTTCACAACTGTCTCCTTACTCTAGTGAATCTAAGGATTTATTTAAATTTCGATTCTAGAATCTGCCACACTTTTATCTCCTTTCCATTCTCTTTGCCATCACTATAGTGTAAGTGTTTTTCATGGACTATTGTAATATTTACAGGATTAGATTTGTCATGTTATTCTTTCAAAGCTATATTTTTGTTATCTAATATGTTTTATCATCTCATGAACCTTTTGGAAGTTCTCCTTTGATCATTTCACTCCCCTTTTCTGATTTCAGAAAAGAAAGTCACTATTTCTCTAGAGTTTGTTTCTGACTTCCCAGTCAGATTTTACTTCTCACTGCCCAGCCAGAGTTCCCCATTCCAGTAACATGGACCACCCACCACATTGACCCCAAGTGATTTTTGTTGAGTAGATTTGTGTTGTTCCTTGTACAGTATTTGCTGCCTAAATCTCTGCCTCCCACCTGTCCCTGTGGAAATTGTCTGCTTACAGTCCTGCAGACAGAGGACCATGAAGTAGTGTGGAAATGACCACCTAGGTTGTTGTGACTGGTCTTTTAGGGCTTTTGAAGTAAAAATACAAACACATTAAACAACATGAAAAGATGAAAAGCAGCCTCCCCTCTTTATTCACATAGAATTTCCCAGGTAGCCCTCGCTTCTCCAGGATGGCTGGGCCACCGCACATCAGAACCTGTCGGACACTGCTTGCCTCTACCCTGTGTAAGTCCCCTTGTTCCCTGAATCATGGCCTTCTCTTTATCAACTTGATTTGGGAAAGTATATGCTGCAGAAACAACCTATGAAAGAGTTTGTGAGAGGTTTAAATTTTTGCTTTTGCACGTTTGAATTTTTTTCAACCTCAAAGTTTGATCGTAAATTTGGTTTCATGTATGAGTCCAGGCTGAAAAACAGTTGTCATTCATAGCTGTGGCTCCCAACCTTCCAAACAGACAGGAAGCAGCCTGAAACAATTACTCAAAAGGCATATCTTCCAAGGATCTGGCAGTGGCCAAGGAGGATGGGAATGGAAGGGTACTGGAGAGGATGACCAAAGGACTGGAAAGCCACTTTCAGGGTGCAGAACCGAGCTTTTAAGAAAAGACTGTCTCCTCCTTTTGAATTATGGGACCTGCCAACTATTGAGAGTGAGGGTTTGGAACTCTGCAGACCACTGTCTACGCATGCTGCTCATTTTCTTTATTTGAGCTACGATGCTTATTTTGATGATCCTGCGCCTGTCTTCTCATTATGTTGGACACGTGGGGGACAGGTAGCTTGTCTTTAGATCACAAGCCTCTGGATGGAGTATAGCAGCAGCTGAATATCAAGATGATGTCAATCACAAGATCCTGACTTGAAGCCTGATGCTGGGATTGGTGGTAGGATTAGACTTCTAGGGGCTGTGGATGGAGGATGAGGATGCTTTGCAGGTGGGGGACATCTGAGTAATTCAGGTGGAGGTCTGACCACTGGTGGCCACTCTGGGTCCATGCTTTTGGCCCAGTGACTTTGCTGTTCCCTTCCTCTCAGACTCTTAGGGTAGCTGTGGATTTGCTTTGACTTGGGGGATAGTAGAAAACCCAATGCCAGCAGAGGCATGGGTGTGTGTTTGTGTATTCTGCCTCCCCTCTCACTCCTCTGCTTTCATCTTGAGAACATACACACGTGAACTTTCTGGAGAATGTGTCACAAATGAGAAAGTCCAGCCAAGATGAGCAAAGTGGCCCAGCCAGCACGCAGTTGATGGCAAAAGCTGAAGCAGCCCTGCTATATTAGTCCGTTTTCATGCTGCTGATAAAGATATACCTGAGACTGGGCAGTTTACAAAAGAAAGAGGTTTAATTGGATTTACAGTTCAACGTGGCTGGAGAAACCTCGCAATCATGGCAGAAGGCAAGGAGGAGCAAGGCATATCTTACATGGGTGGCAGCAGGCAGAAAGAGAACTTGTGCCAAAAAACTTCCCCTTATAATAACCATCAGATCTTGTGAGACTTACTCACTATCACAAGAACAGCACAGGAAAGACCTGCCCTCATGATTCATTTACCTCCCACCAGGTCCCTCTCACAACACGTGGGAATTCAAGATGAGATTTGGGTAGGGACACAGCCAAACCATATCATTCTGCCCCTGGCGCCACCCAAATCTCATGTCCTCACATTTCAAAACCAATCATACCTTCCCAACAGCCCCCCAGTCTTAACTCATTTCAGCATTAACTCAAAAGTCCAGAGTCCAAAGTCTCATCTGAGAGAAGGCAAGTCCCTCTGCCTATGAGCCATTAAAATCAAAAGCAAATTAGTTACTACCTAGATAACAATGGAGGCACAGGAAATGGATAATTACAGCCATTCTGAATAGGAGACACTGGCCAAAAGGGGCTACAGGTCCCATGCAAGTCTAAAATCCACCAGGGCAGTCAAATCTTAAAGCTCCAAAATGGTCTCCTTTGACTCCATGTCTTGCGTCCGGGTCACACTGATGCAAGGGGTGGTGAGTTCCTGTGGTCTTGGGCAGCTCCACCCCTGTGGCTTTGCAGGGTAGAGCTCCCCTCCTGACTGCTTTCACAGGCTGGCGTTGAGTGTCTGCAGCTTTTCCAGGAGCATATTGCAGGCTGTCAGTGGATCTACCATTCTGGGGTCTGGAGGATGGTGGCCCTCTTCTCACAGCTCTACTAGGCAGTGCCCCAGTAGGGACTCTGTGTGGAAGCTCTGACTTCACATTTCCCTTCTGCACTGCCCGAGTAGAGGTTCTCCATGACCCCCCAACCCCTGCAGCAAATTTCTGCCTGGACATCCAGGCATTTGCATACATTTTCTGAAATCTAGGTGGAGGTTCCCAAACCTCAATTCTTGACTTCTGTATGCTCACAGGCTCAATACCAAATGGAAGCTGCCAAGGCTTGGGGCTTGCACCCTCTGAAGCCATGGCCCGAGCTCTGTGTTGGCCCCTTTCATAGCTGGAGCAGCTGGGATGCAGGACACCAAGTCCGTAGGCTGCACACAGCACAAGGACCCAGGGCCCACCCCATGAAAGCACTTTTTGCCCCTAGGACTCCAGGCCTGTGATGGGAGGGGCTGCTGTGAAGACCTCTGACATGGCCTAGAGACATTTTTCCCATTGTCTTGGGGGTTAATATTCAGCTCCTTGTTACTTATGCAAATTTCTGTAGCTGGCTTGAATTTCTCCTCTGAAAATGGGATTTTCTTTTCTATTGTGTTGTCAGGCTGCAAATTTTCCGAACTTTTATGCTCCGCTTCCCCTATAAAACTGAATGCTTTTAACAGCACCCAATCACCTCTGGAATGCTTTGCTGCTTAGAGATTTCTTCTGCCAGATACCCTAAATCATCTTTCTCAAGTTCAAAGTTCCCCAAATCTCTAGGGCTGGGGCAAAATGCCGCCATTCTCTTTGCTAAACATAACAAGAGTCATCTTTGTCCAGTTTCCAACAAGCTCTTCATCTCTATCTGAGACCACTTCAGCCTTGGCATTATTGTTCATATCACTATCAATATTTTTGTTGAAGCCATTCAACAAGTCTCTTGGAAGTTCCAAACTTTCCCACTTTTCTTGTCTTCTTCTGAGCCCTCCAAACTGTTCCAACCTCTGCCTGTTAACCAGTTCCGAAGTTGCTTCCACATTTTTGGGTATCTTTTCAGCAACACCCCACTCTACTGGTACCAATTTACTGTATTAGTTCATTCTCACACTGCTGATAAAGATATACCCAAGACTGGGCAATTTATAAAAGAAAGAGGTTTAATTGGGCTCACATTTCTAAATGGCTGGGGAGGCCCCACAATCATGGTGGAAGACAAGGAAGAGCAAGTCACGTCTTACATGGATGGCAGCAGGCAAAAAGAGAATTTGTGCAGGAAAATGCCTTATAATAACCATCAGATCTCATGAGACTTACTAGCACAAGAACAGCATAGGAAAGACCTCCCACTATGATTCAATTTATCTCCCACCAGACCCCTCCCCAACACATGGGAATTCAAGACAAGATTTGGGTGGGGACACAACAAAACCTTATCACATGCTGAGCCAGGGCACATTCAGTGTAATGCAATCAGACCCCAGCCTCATGAGCAGAAATGAATGTTTGTTGTGATGTCCTTAGCACATAGCAGAACAAGCACATAGGTCTGGTGGTTGTGTGCTGGTCACAGAGGTGCGTTGCTGAGATCTCCTTGCAAGCAGGGACTCACTGAGAGAAGTATAGTGAGCTGCCAGCATTTGCTGTCACTACTGTGGGTATCTGTTGCAGCATCCTCCCCGCAACTGACTCCCCCCAGCTTCCCCAGACCAAAGAATGGGCACTGTGAGGGTGCTGGAATATTCTCTCCCCATATGGAGTGAAGACACTAAGACCAGAACATTTCCACCTCATATGGGATTCCTCTAATGATCATTGCTGTTCAGGGACCCCCTTCATCCTGCTCTTGGACTCCCCCGTTTCAGGCTCTTCTTCTCCAATCCACTTCCTCCATCCCTTTGCTGGCCTCCCCTCTCTTGTAGTCCTCTTAGACATTTCCACAGCAGCTCTGGTATGGCTCATTGCGCCATGATTTGTTGATTGCCAGAAAACATGCACTGACATCTTGGCAGTGCAGCATTGTGGTGTCAATTGATGACTGGTACACTCTCATCTCTCAAGGAATGAAGTAATGCATTTTCTGGTGCTTAAAAATTCCGCTGGCTTTTGTTTTTGTTTGTTTGCTTTTGGTGTCTTTCTCTGTTCATATTTCAGAGTACACCCCTAAAAAGCCTATTCATAGCTTTGTGTGCTGGGCAGGGCAGCCGAGGGCAGGGCTCATCTTCAGAGCAATTGGCTGGCAAAATAGCTGTTTCTTGGGCTGGGCAGGGCTTGGAAAGGGTTTTTTTTTTTTTCCTGTGACTATTGGGTCTCTCTGGAGGGGACTCCTCCCATATCCTGTCTGGAGTGATATAAACCAGTGGCCGGCACTTTAAGAGTTGGTCAGGGAAAGGTTTTGAAGTCTCTGTGGTTCAGTTATAGAATTTAATCTCCCTGTTTTGAACCTCTCACGTCACCCAGGCTGCTGCTATGGCTGGTTGCTCAAATCTCTGTGCCTCCAGGTCAAGTTTTTCCACAAAATAAGCCTCCAGGCTTCTGGATTAGAGGCTGGTGGTGGTGTGTGGGAGAGGGGTGCCAGAGTGCAGCACCTCAAGAAGACCTTCTCCTCCTCCTGACTTCAGCCCACACTCAGCCCCACTCCCTCAGTGCTGAACACCTTCAGACTCTCCTCAGAGACGTTTCTGAAAGACGAAACCAATGTCCACCCCTTCACCTAATGGAGTTATATTAGCTCATTTTCACACTGCTGTAAAGAATACCAGAGACTGGGTAATTTATAAAGGAAAGAGGTTTAATTGACTCACAATTCCACATGGCTAGGGAGGCCTCAGGAAACTAACAATCATGGCAGAAAGCTAAGGGGAAACAAGGCATGTCTTACATGGTGGCAGGAGAGAGAGAGAGAGAGCACAGGGGAAACTGCCGCTTTTAAACCATCAGATCTCATGAGAACTCACTTACTATCAGGAGAACAGCATGAGGAAAACCACCCCAGGATCCAGTCACCTCCCACCAGGTCCATCCCTCAACATGTGGGGATGACAGCTCAAGATGAGATTTGGGTGGGGAGACAAAGCCAAACTATATCAGAAGTTAAAGAAAAATTATTCCACGCTGCTTGTAAAGCATCCTGTTATGGTTTGGATGTGTGTCTCCTCCAATCACATGTTGGAATGTGATCCCCAGGGTTGGAAGTGGGCCTGATAGGAGGTGTTTGGATCCTGGGGGTGAATCCCTCATAAATGGGTTGGTGCCCTCCTCACAGAAACAAGTGAGTTCTCACTGCTCTGAGTTCACACGGGAGCTGGTTGTTTAAAGGAGCCTGCCCCTGCCCCTTGCTCCCTCTCTTGCCATGTGACACGCTGCCTCCCCATCACCTTCCACCATGACTGGAAGTTTCCTGAGGCCTCACCAGAAGCAGATGCCAATACCATGCTTCCTGTACAGCCTGCAGACCTGTGAGCCAAATAAACCTCTCTTCTTTATAAATTACCCAGTCTCAGGTAGCCTTTTATAGAAATGCAAATGGACTAACACACATGGTGAGGCTGAGACTGGCTTTTTTTTTTTTTTTTTTTTTTTTTTTTTTGGGGACAGAGTCTTGCTCTGTCGCCCAGGCTGGAGTGCAGTGGCACTTCAGCTCCGCCTCCAGGGTTCACACCATTCTCCTGCCTCAGCCTCCCGAGTAGCTGGGATTACAGGCGCATGCCACCATGCCCAGCTAATGTTTTTGTATTTTTAGTAGAGACAGGGTTTCACTGTGTTAGCCAGGATGGTCTCGGTCTCCTGACCTCGTGATCTGCCCACCTCAGCCTCCCAAAGTGCTGGAATTACAGGCATGAGCCACCATGCCTGGCTGAGGCTGGCTTTATTCAGGGTCATCATGATAGGTCCTGGACCACTGCAGTGGGGGCTTTCAGTTAGAAGGACATTGGGCTCAACTCTGAATACATCTCAGCAAGGGGAATTTATAGCCACAGAGCAGGGTAGGGGGTCTGTGGATGGAAAATGCTGGGGAAACATCAGGGGCAAGGGGACTTTGGTTACACGCAACTAACAGGACTGTCACTGAAGACAGGCCAGGGTGAACAGACACCATCCGAGTGATGGTGTACAACAGAGCTGCTAGTGAAGGCAATATTCCGGTGACATTCTGATTTATTTTACTTAGTAAAATTGACTTTGATTTTAAGTCATATATTTACTTATATAGTTCATAGGCATGCATAATTTTATACTTGAATATTTGAATATGACTTCATCAGAAGTTCATAGAGTTTAAAGTTTAATTTAAGAGCCCTGAGAATGGGAAGGTTTCCATGAATAAAATTTCATGTTTCATCTTAAATGGGTAGTGGGAACTTTTCTCCAGGGAATAGGGAACATAATTTTTCCATCTACTTTTAGTGAGAGATTTTCTAGTCTCTCTTTCCTCCAGGACAATGTCATTAGAATTCTACAAATAGAAATATTTTATAAAAAGTTGCTTACTAATGGTAGTTTTTATTTACCCTTTTTAAATAAGCACAGGTTATTTGACCAGAAAAATATACTAAAGATAGCATGCACAAATATCTCCTCTGTGTTTCTCTTTATTTTCATCCAGCTTGATTGTAAAACTTATGTTAGATTTTATTTGAAATCTGGTCACATATAGCATATATTCCTAAATTTGGAATACCCTAAACATTATATGGCACTTCAGATTTTTGCAAGACTAAAATTTTCAGTTCCATATATATTGACCTGTTTGAGCAGTGTTCTGAATGCATAGAAACTCTCAATGCTTCTCTGATTCTTATGCGGTGGGACATTTATTCCGTAATCTCACTTCCAGAGGCACAATTTAAACTTGCATAGAGGTTAATATTATAGGGCTCTTGGGCTATGCAGCTGACAGCTTTTCACACACTTGAATTCTGATTTTCCTTCACGAGGACACTACATTTCCATTAACAGCTGATGCATATTTTACAGATGTAAGTGAGTAGCCTCAGGCGGTTGCAGAGGAAAATGGTTCTTTTCTGATTTCATCTCGCCTTCCTGGTCACTTCTACAAAGTTTCCCATTTAGCCTAAGCAAAATTCTTCCACAGAGCAAGACAGTGTAAAGTGAAATCCAACAGTCATGTTCTTTCTCTACGATCACGTAGATACATTATATTGGATTGGTTGAAAGTTTTTAGAGAACTGTAATTCTTCTCAGCTGTTATTTTACCAGCTGAATTCCTTATGAGGGCAATAAAAACTATAATTAAACATAAAAATGAGGAACAATTCAAATTGCATTATGTAATCTTGTACAAAACACACCCTACTTATATCCTTATTCTTAGATGTCTTTTTTTGTTGTATAAATTTATTTCCATTCCTTTCCAACTCACATTACAATGTTTGACACCTTCACTCCTGATACTACAACACTGAATGCTGAGGGAACCTGGAAAGTCAGAGCATTTTTGAACAGTTTCGTGTTAATTGCCCAGAAAATTATTACTCAGAGCACAGAGCACCATGACTGACACATCTGGCTGGAAAACGATTTTGGCAAATTTCTCTTGTAGTGGTGATTATGCCATAGACCATTATGTGGTTCATCTAGATAGCTTATATTTAGGAGGATTTTTTGATGTCTGAAATTCTCTCACCCCATTTCCTCATCAGCATCTTTCTTTCAATTTTGTTTGCAATTGATGAGTTAATTAACTGCTTCTGACTCCTTTTGTTCTTGCTTTTTTCTGGCATCTTTTTACAGATTCGTCTTACATTTTTTCTCTTTCTATGCCAACCTCGTCAACCTTTCAGGCTGCTGCAACAAATTACCATTGACCGGGTGGGTTAGAAACAACAGAAATTTATTCCTTACAGTTTTGGAGGCTGGAAGTTACAGATGTGGCCATCAGCAGATGCAGTTTCTACTGAAGCCCTGCCTCCTGGTTCATTGGCCACAGTATTTTCATTGTATCCCCCCACAGGGTAGGGGAAAAGCAGCCCTGTGGGTCCTCTTTTATAAGGGCACTAATGGCATTGATGAGCGCTCCACCCTCATGACCCGATCACCTCCCAAAGACCCCCACTTCCTAACAGCATCCATTGTTGATGGGGTTTCAACACCCGAATTACAGGGAGACACAAACATTCAGATTATATTAGCCAGAAAGCAGAGTTTAGTGGCCAGTTTTAGGACACGATTTGCTAATTGCTTGTGACAGAGAAAGGCATGATGGATTTTAATTTTCCCTTAACATTTATCTTTCTTTAGTACATTCCACTCTCCTGCCCACACTTGCCGCTCATAAACCATTTTTTGTTGGACTTGGTAGTAAAGGTGAGAAATATTTGGAAATTAAATGTCTGAGAACACCAAGATTATCAAAAGTGCAGTTGAAGCTGGATTGGGCATGAAGTGCTGTACAAATCAGTGAGAATAACAGATTCTAGATTGTAGGGAATTGTTAAGTGGTGCCATCATTAGGGTCACCATATTTAGCAAATAAAAATAGAAGACACCTAGTTAAATTTGAATTTCAGATGAACAACAAATGATTGTTTAGTATAAGTGTGTCTCAAGCAGGATTTGCGATACATTTAAATGAAGAATACTAATACTAAATATAGACTACAGAATCATTCATTATTTGTCTGAAATTCAAATTTAACTGGGTGTCCTATAATTTGACTGGCAACCAGAGCCATTATTTGTAATGATTCCATGAAAGGCAAACAATATTAAACAACACTGGATGAGGTCTGCTTACTCTTGTCCTTAATAGAAATTTATATTTCAGCCAAATGTTCTTCAGGATTCTTGTCTTGGAAATAATATTTTAAATTTTTCATTACATTTTTCTTTTGGTAATAATAAATTGTCATCTTCCTCAAGTTTCTCATAATAAATTTTGATTTATATTTATTTTGCAGAGGAAGACGAGGAATACATTTTCATTAACCATCTAACAATTAAGCTTTATTTATATGGTTACTTGAATGATTGTTTGGATTAAACTGAAATTTTAATCAAAACTTTAGTCAATTTTTTTTCTGGTAGTCTTTTTGTAGGATCAGTATTTAATAATCCAAGTGAAATATTATGCAGTTATTAAGTATAATAACATGAATCAATATAATTGAGAACTATAATTAGAAAAATGATGGTGAATGTCTACATGGTATAAATAATACCAATATTAAAAATATTTCTAATATAAAAATATAAAAGCTAAACTCCTGTGGTTGATATGAATAGGGCTCATGTCTTCATTCCCATTTAAGTTTCAGATATCTTTGCATATACTAACTTGTAAACGTTTTTTGCTTCATTTGACTCACGCAAACGTCACAATAAATAAACTAAAATAAAAAATACCCCCAAAATATAGGAATTCTAGTTTTATGACAACTTCCTATCTCATTTGAAATGAGCTAGAGTACAATTGTTTTTCAATATGTTAGATTTCTTCAGAAATTTAAGAACAGCAGTTAATCCTACCCAAAAGCAAGAGAAGAATAATCAGGGGAAGAAAAAGGAGGGAAGTTGAGCAAGACAGAGCAGGAGGAGGGGGCCCATGAAGAGGGAGAGAAGTTGAGTTAGAAGCAGCCTTCAGGCTGAAGACCCAGGACAGCTAGGGGTGCAGTTCCAGTCTGAAGGCAGTCAGCTGGAGAATGCCGCCTTATTCAGGGATACCAGCCTTATAAATAATTGCCCAAAGAAGGAAATTTATAGTTATTTATAGATTTATCATTATATATTAAAGTAATTACTCTTTTTGGAAATTTTGATTTTATCCAAGGACTTAAAGCTCAACAACGTAGCCGAGGACCAATGAGTAACTATTAACATTAGTTATGATCTACTGAGAAATATTCCTGGGTACAATGAACAGGAAGGATTTGCCACTTACCTGACTTGTTGTAGAAATGTTTTCTGATACTTACAAACAATCATTTTATGGCTAGAAGGTAATAATCAAAGTAAAGAATACTTGGCAGCTTGAAACCAAGTGGTAGCTTGATGGGCTCAGATATACCTACAAGGGTTAACCTTGATATTTGGCAAGAGCAGTTGTACATTTTGTGCTTGCCAACCTCCATAATTGGGTGAGTCAATTCCTTATAATAAATCTCTTTATGTGTGTGTATCTATCTATCTATCTATCTATCTATCTATCTATCTATCTATCTTCTTTATCTACCTATCTATACTATTGATTCTTTTTCTCTGGAGAATTCTAATTCTAATACTGTATTGAACCTTGTTTTGATCCTGATTTTCGAGGGATTCTGTAAAATGATTAGAAATTTTAAAAACACAAAAAATTTTTGGAGTCACAGAAACTTAGCTTTCAAAGAAAGTTTCTTTATCCTTCCTTTTTTCCTTCCTTCATTAATCCGAAGATGATCAGTGTGCATGTAAAATGTGCCTAATTATTCTAGGTGGGAAATGTGACAGGCATACCAAACAAGGTCCCCACACCCTGGGCATAGTCTCCTCCACGAGCATTCCTCGCTTTGGCACCTCCGATGTGGGGATGGCCTATTCTCATAAAGGATGGCGCCATCAAAATGCTCTTGCTTTGTTGATCTCAAGTCAAACATTTCTGATATAATACAGTGTCTGAAATTTTCTCCATCCTGGTCAGCCTCCTCTGAATACATTCCGGTTAGGCAGTGTTCCTTATAAAACTTGGCACTCAGATCAGACAGAGTGCTCCAGGTGAGAGCTGAGCAGTGCCAATAACAGAGTGCCTATGTCTTTAGCACTATATTCTTCACAATCTAAAATCCACATTAATTTTTAAAATCGCTTTAAATAGTTGTAAAAATAGGAAAATTTACGTTATTCATAGATTTAGTATTATATATTTGAGTACTTTCTTTTTTTGGAAATTTAATTTTATCCAAGGACTTAAAGCTCGACAACACAGCCAGGAACCAATAAGTAACTATTAACCTTAGTGATGATCTATTGAGAAATATTCCTAGGTACAATGGATGGGAAAGATTTGCCACTTACCTGACTTGTCATAGAAATGTGTTTTCTGATACCTATAAACAATCATTTTGTGGATAGAAGGTAATCATCAAAGTAAAGAATAGTTGGCAGCTTGAAACCAGTTGGTAGCTTGACGGGCTCACACATACCTGGAAGAGTTAACCCTGATATTTACCAAGAGCACTTATGGAAGCTCTTTGGTAAAATCAAGCTAACGTATATTTGGGGGTAGCTACACCCATAGAATACCACCCTGAGAGCTTAACATTGTAGATACAAAATACATACTCACTCGAACAATAACTTCTTTTTTTTTTTTTTTTTTTTTTTTGAGACGGAGTCTCGCTCTGTCGCCCAGGCTGGAGTGCAGTGGCGCAATCTCGGCTCACTGCAAGCTCCGCCTCCCGGGTTCATGCCATTCTCCTGCCTCAGCCTCCCGAGTAGCTGGGACTACAGGGGCCTGCCACCACGCCCGGCTAATTTTTTGTATTTTTAGTAGAGGCGGGGTTTCACTGTGTTAGCCAGGATGGTCTCTATCTCCTGACCTCATGAAACAATACCTTCTTAAAGGCAAACATTTTTGAAGAATAGGCCAATATTGACTGAAATTATCTAAAGGAGCTTTGAGTGAAATTGGTACAGTTCTAGAAATCCTAGGAAAAAAAATTCCATTTGTCAAGAGAGATATACTAGGAAAATGACTTACTGGTTTGTATTGGCTGCTTAAATGTATGCTACTTATAATTCTCCAGGTAGAAGTAGAGTTTAGCAAAAAAGAAATGGCCTAGGATTGTGGCCATTGAAGTACACAGCATGAATTCCTGGTTCCTCTAATATATCAAAAGATATAAATGGAAAATGTAATTTTTTTTCTTAATATGTCACAGCATTTTGTTTCTTGGCATGTGTCTAGTATTTTTTGATGTTGTTGAATATTTTGAATTTAAATTTGCTGAATGTTTGAATTGCTCCCATCCTTTAAAGAGCTCTGGGCTTGACTCTTGTAGGCAGGTAAATTACTTATGGTTTAGTTTGAGTCCTTCAAGCGTTGTTTCAATCTTTGTTAGAGATGTCTAAATTAGCTGCCAACATAGGGATAGCATATACGGCTATTGAGGAATGCCTTTTTGGGGTCTCTGTTGAATCAAGTGGATCAAAGCCACTCAACACTGGTAGGTGAGGACTTGAACATTATCAGTCTTCTGTATGTTGAGAACTTGAACAGTTACCAGCCTTCTGTGTGTTGTAGGACAGTGTTGTTTACAGATGGCCAGCCATTCTTTGCATGAACATGCCCATGTTAGTATTAAGCAAAGACTCAGAGTTCTTTGGGCAGCATTTTTTAGTGTGGGTATTGGGTAACATTCTGTTCTCCAGAGTTCTTCTGGAACTTCTGGAAATGTCTACCTCCTCAGAACCCTCCAGTCCGATCTCTGTCTCCTCTACCCAAGGATACTGCCGTCTCGTTTTTGGGATTCCTCTCCCTGCTTCATGTTCAGAACTGTGCTTCTATGTATAAATCTGTTGTGAACGTAAGAATCACCTTGTTTTCTTTCTTTCTCAAAGGGATCATACATGGTCAAATGATGACTGTTGTCTAATATCTGCAAATGTTGATTCATATATTTTGTCCATAGGACAAGTGGAGGGCAAAATCTAAATCGTATTGCTCCATCATAGCTAGCCAGCAGTGACTACTCAATTTTTAGAATTACATGTTTAATGAACATTTTCAAAGAAGTTCCATATATCTTAAATCCAAATAAGGTCTAGATTTAGCCATACTTGTGGTCTCTCTATGTGTTCTTTGCATGTAGTCCCTTTCTCCCTCTATGTCTCTCTCTCTCTCTTTCATACACACACACACACACACACACACACACACACACAGATTCTCACTCACATACACACTACTGAGGTATTTTAAAGCAAATTTCCAGATGTTTTATGATTTTACTGCTATAAATTTAGTATATCTACCTCTAAATATGTGGACATTTCCTTACTTAACCATAATGTCTTTATCACATTTATCAAAAAATAAAGATATTTCTTTGGTACCATCTGGTATTCATTTCATACTTGAGTTTCTCTCATTATCTCAGAAATCATATTTTACATTTGGTTTATTTGAAGCAGATTCCAGAAAGATCATCCATCATATTTGTTTGTTCAATCTCTTAGGTCTCTTTTAATATAATACAATCCCCCCATCATATTTTTTTTCATGCAATTGAATTGAAGTAACTGGGTCAGTACCCTTGTAGAATGTAACTGTTTCTGGAGTTATTGATTGCTTCATGTGGCTATGGAACTTGTTCCTCCATCTTCTGAATTGACTGTAAACTTAAAGCAATCTCTAAAGGATTGATTAGATTGAAGGTTAACTTTTCAGAATGCAGAACACTCATGGGTGGGGCTGTGTACTTCACAGCACGCCTGGTGCACCTTCCAGCCATGCCAACATTGATCACTGGCTTCAGGGTGACACCTGGCACTGCCTTTAAAAGCTTGCCATCTTTCACCCATGGATAATCTGAATTTATTATTAGTGTGCAAAATGGTTATTTTCTTATTCTGTTATTTCTTATTTATCAGTGGAAATTTTTCCATAAAAATTCTCTCATGAGCTAGTGCTTTTTTTTTTATTACCATCAGATACATTTCGTAAAGAAGGACAGAAATATGTCAATTCTTTTCCTTTATTTTCCTGCTTAGTGAGGAGTTGGTGGCTATGGTGGACCCCGGGATGCCCAGGTCCTTTAGGCTGAGGCAGTTCAGCACAGGGTTCTCCTCCTCCCAACCAGAATCTGCAGCTGCTTCCTGACAACTTTTGCTGATGAGCAGATCTCACTTTGCCTGCACCACAGTGGAGCAGAGTGCAGCAGAATGAATGCCGCCAAGTCCTTCCCCATCAATAACCTTAACCAACACATGGCAGGAATGGGTGAACCAAGATCCAAGAACCTTTGCCCCCAGGTGGGACATCTCCGAGGCACTTGTTCTACACTGGTTTCAAGGGTTCTCCAGTGGGATTAAGGTCCGTTGACGATAACCAGCTTAGTAGCGGACATTCTATAATCTTCCTTTCTCAATCACTTCCCCACTCTTGCTGGTTGTTTCTCAAGTAAACTACACACAAATCCTTGTCCCAGGGTCTGTTCTGTGGGGACACTTCAGTGATAAGCAGCACCTTTGGGTACCCTCACACAGTTTCTTTTTTCTTGTATCTAGCTCTTTCTCTCCTAGTCTATTTTAAATCATAACAGTCACCTTATGGGCATTGATGCATTCCTTGTATTTCAGTGTATTACAGTCATTTTGAAGATACCCAAATTGTCACACTTTTGGTCATTGGCAGCCTTTTTCGTGTTATCTCTTTAATTCTTCCCTCACACATTTTTTAAAAAAGATTTTGTTTTTTAGAGCAATTTTAGGTTCACAGCAAAAATGAGTGGAATGTACAGAATTCCCATATGCCCTCTGCCCCTACACATGCACGACCTCTCCCACGATCACATCCCCCACAGAGTGGTGCATTGGTTACCATTGACGAACCTACACTGACACTTCATCACCCGGAGTCCAGAGTGTACATGACGGCTCACTCTTGGATTTGTGTATTCAACAGATTTTGACAAATTCGAAATGGCATGGATCGATCATGATGGTATTACACAGAGTACTTTCACTGCTTTTACTCTCCGAAAACTTCTTTTGCTCTGTGTGCTCATCCCTCCCACCTCACCCCAACCCTTGACAACTGCTGAATTTTTTTACTCTCTCTATATTTTTGCCTTTTCTGGAATGTCAAATAGTTGGAATTATACAGTATATAGTTTTTTTGACTGGACTTTTCTCTTAGTAATTTGCATTTAATGTTCTCTCATGTATTTTCATGCCTTGATAGCTCATCTATTTTTAGGGTTGAATAATATTCTATTGTCCAGATGTACGGTGGTTTATTTATCCATTTACCTACTGAAGGACATCTTGGTTGCTTCCAAGTTTTGACAATTACACATAAAGCTTCTATTATCATTCTTTTCAGGTTTTTGAGTGGACAGATACTTTCAACTCACTTGAATAAAAACCAAAGAGCACAATTGCTAGATTGTATGGTAAGAGTACGTTCAGTTTTGTAAGAAACTGGACGACTGTCTTCCAACGTGGCTAGACCACTTTGCATTCTCACTAGCAGTGAATTAACATTCTTGTTGTTCCACATCCTGGTCAGCATGTGGGGCTGTCAGTGTTTTGGATTCTGGCCATTATAACAGGTATGGAGTGGTATCTCATTGCTGTTTTAATTTGCAATTCCCTAATGGCATATGATATTGAATATATTTTCATATGCTTATTTGCCATCTCTAGATCTTCTTTGGTGAGGTGTCTATTCAGATCTGTTCCCCATTTTTAAATCAGGGTTTTCATTTTCTTCCTGTTGAGTTTTAAGCATTATTTGTATATTTTGTCCTTTATCATGTATGTGTTTTGCAAATATTTATTCCAAGTCTAAGGCTTGTATTCTCATTCCTTTTATTCACAACTCTTTTTGAGGTAGTTTTTATTGAAGGTTAACACACATAAGGAAAGGCACATAAATCATAAGTATATAGCTCAATAAATTATCACATAGTGAATCTAGCCTTGTAACTGACACTTTGGGAGTTCTCACAATGCCCTGTCTAAGTATTACTCTCTAGGTAACCTCTACACTGAACTCTACGCTGAGTTTTGTACCATAGACTGGTTTGTCCTATTTTTTGAGAAGGAGTCTCACTCTGTCACCCAAGGCTGGAGTGCAGGGGCATGATGTCGGCTCACGGCAACCTCCGCCTCCCAGGTTCAAGTGATTCTCCTGCCTCAGCCTCCTGAGTGGCTGGGACTACAGGAACACTCTCGGCTAATTTTTGTATTTTTAGTAAAGACGAGGTTTCACCATGTTGTCCAGGATGGTCTTGATCTCCTGACTTCATGATCCACCTGCCTCAGCCTCCCAAAGTGCTGGGATTACAGGCGTGAGCCACTGTGCCCAGCCCTATTTTTAAACTTTATAGAAATGGATTCATTCTATGTCTGGCTTCTTTCACTCAAGGATATGCTTATGATATTTATTCAGGTTTTAATGGATAGTGGTAATTCAGTCATTTTTATTGGTGCATTTAATTGTATGAACGTAGCAGGTTATAATTACCATTTTTCTGTCGATGGACATTTAAGTATTTTTCTAGGGATTATATAATATCACTAAAATTATTATTAATGATCTTAGCAACATTTTTAAGGACATAAATTTTAATTTTTACTGTGTAAATAACTAGGGATAAACTTGCCAGTGATAGAATAGGTGTAGGGTTTTATTATATAAGAAAAAGCAAAATGCTTTTCCAAAGTTGCTATGACATTTTATGTTCCCACTGGCAATAACGTTTCTGCCTCTATGCATCTTTGTCAAAATTTGGCATTGTCAGTCTTTTGTAGCTATTCTACTGGGTATGACATAGTATCTAAGAGTGGGCAGAGTTTGCATTTCTTTGATGACTAGTGATGTTGTGAACCTTGCATAGATGCTTACTGGCAACTCATATTTCTTATTTGAAGTATGTGTACAAGTCATTTGTTGATTTTTAATGGGTGATTTGTCTTTTATGTAGAATTATAGCAGTTTTTAATATATCCTGGATGCAAGTCACCTGTCAAATATATGTAATGAGAATATTTTCATCTGGTGTATAGCCTTTCTAGTAATTATCTTACCTATTTATTTTATTCAGAAGTGCTTTGATCTCCTTTTTCAGTGTTGTTGAAGTCTAAGTCATAAATTGTCTTTTATGGTTATTTGTATTTTCTAAGAAATCCTTGACTACCCCAAGGTCACTACATACATAAACACACCTCACTCTCTATATTGGTGTGTGTGTGTGTATATATATATATATAAAATACCTATATAATACACTTATCTATACATATGTAGGTATATTAAATATATGCAGAATATATATAATATATATAGCTTATATATACTCTTACTCATCAATATGCTATTTTAAGAGCTCTGTAATTCTATAACTTATATGCCATAAATTTATCCACTTTAGGTGTGCAATTTAGGTGTTTTTAGCAAAATTATAGAGTTGTATATCCTTCACCATAATCCAGTCTTGGAACATTTCCATCACCCCAAAATGCTCCCTCATGTGGATCTGCAATCCATCCTCATTTCTTCCTCCAGCCCCAGGTACTTACTAACTGCTTTCTATATCTATAGTTTTGCATTTTTGGACACTCATATAAGTAGAATAATTTAATATTGTGTAGGCAGAATTTAGGGTGGCCTTTATGACCCTCACTCCTCGGAGTTATAATCATGACCATGGTACTTTTTATGATAAAAGTGAGATTATTCAGGTGAGCTTAAGCTAATCACATGAGCCCCTTAAAAGCAGTGCGCTTTTTATGGTTGGGAGCAGAGGGAAAGGCAAGAAGGTGTTTGAAGCACTAAGGGGATTTGCTGAGCCCTTCCTGGCTTCTGAGTTGAAAGAGGCCCCAATCAGGGACTGAAGGCTGGACCCCAGGACCTGACAGAATCTCCCGCCGAGAACCAGCAAGGCAGTGAGGTGCTCAGTCTGACAGCTTCAAGGAGCTGGGTCTGCCAGAAGTTTGGATGAACTAGAAAGCAGATTCTTCCCTGGGGCCTCCCGATGAGAGCCAGCCAGGCTGACCCTGGATTTCAGCCTTGCAAGACCCTGAGCGGAAGACCTAGGAGGCCGTGCCCATACTTCTAACCTGCAGAAAATGTGAGCTGATGAAGCGGTCCTGTGCCGAGGTATGACGTGTATGGTCATTTGTTATACAACGGTAGGAAACTAATGCAAACGTGAAGTCTTTTGCATCTGGCTTTTTCACTGGCACTGAAGTTTATCTGTGTTGTATCATGGAACATGTTGTAACATTTTAGTCCTTTTCATTGCTGAATAGTACTTAGTATACATTTTAATATTTTAATAACACTTGTTAAGTCTGAACAATGAACAACATACAAAGAAAAAACTTCAGAGTCTGTATGCTATAGTGGGAAAACATTCTTTCCATGTTCATGGGGGGATAGGGATAAAATACACATTGAACAAAGATAAATGTCATTAGCTTTTAGATTTATAGTTTTAGCTTTTCCATTTAAGTCTATGATCAACCTCAATTCATCTCAGGTATGGCGACCACAAAAATGACCATTTATTGGCCAGTTCCTAACAACAACAGCAAACATTTAGAGGTAGTGGCTCTGGTCTCTGAGAGGTACAGGAGAATTCATTGTTAGAAATATGTATTTTAATTAAAATACTAGAATCTGGTTGATAAAACAAGACTTGCTTCGTATTTTAAGGCTTTATACTTTCATATCCCCTTAATAGTGAATTTAAGATCAGTCTACATTTTTAGATAATATAACCTAATTATAACATAGAAAAGACTCACAATTTACCTCCATGATTATGTGTGCCAAGTTAATCTCATGAGGCTAAAAAAAAAAAGGAGGATATAAAGTTTTCAGTAAAGATGGAATAAGAAAACATCTTTGAAACCATAATGAAAAGTGCTGATACCAAAAATTGACGTCAAAATGGGAATGTTGTTGATATTTAGTCTAGAATCATATGAGTCTCATCTGCTGTCACAATACTTTGTTTCTGAAGATGTATTTATTTCACTTTTTTACACCCAGAGAAAAAATAATGTGAATTAGAATCTGGGACATCCCCCTCCACAAATTTGGACTTGGAGTTGTTTCAACACTGTTTGTTGAAGGGACTTTCCTTTCCCGTTAGACTGTTTGATGCTTTTGCAGAAAATCAATTTTTCTATTACATATTAATCTAATTCTGGACTCTATTCTGCTTCATAATATATTCATTAATCCTCATTCAAATCTTATCCTGTCTTGATATGTTGCTTTATCATAAGTCTTGAACTCAGTTGAAGTAACTTGCTCACTATATTATGTTTTCTAACATGATTATGGTACATATCTCACTTTAGTTAGGACTTCTTGAATTGTACTCAACAAAGCATGAAACTCTTTCGAAGAGAGCTTGAAAATCTTATGGTGGATTTATTTCTAATCATTTTATATATTTGAGATTATTGTAAATAGTAAATTGTCTTAAATTTTATTTTCTAATTGTTTAATGCTTGTATATAAAATCACAACTGACTTTTGTATATTGACCTGTAATTTTGCCACTTTGTACAATTCACTTACTAGGTTTAACAGTTTTGGTAAATTCACTTGAATTTTCTACTTATACAAACATATTACCTGTGAATAAAGCCCATTTCACTTTTTCTGTTTGAATCTGTATACAATAATCATTAAGATTTTCCAAAAGTGATATTGAGATAGAAAAGTATATTTGGAATAGAAATGCTGTCAGATTTGGCCAGAGAGCTTCCACCTCCACCAAGGAAACTTTCCACTTTGTTTCCTCACGCAGGAGACAAGTATCTCAGTTTTTTATGTGATTATTTTGTGGAAGAGAGAGATTAGGTAACATAACCAAAGTCACATGAATATTGCATTTCTGGACTGGGATTTGGATGGAGGTCTTTCTAATTGCAGAGCTATTTTGCATTAAAACTCTGATGAAGAAGTACAAAGACGAGCTGGTACCACTCCTTCTGAAACTATTCCAGTCAATAGAAAAAGAGGGAATCCTCCCTAACTCATTCTATGAGGCCAGCATCATCCTGATACCAAAACGTGACAGAGACACTACAAAAAAAGAGAATTTTAGAACAATATCCCTGGTGAACATTGATGCAAAAATCCTCAATAAAGTACTGGAAAACTGAATCCAGCAGCACATCAAAAAGCTTATCCACCATGATCAAGTGGGCTTCATCCCTGGGGTGCAAGGCTGGTTCAACATACGCAAATCAATAAACGTAATCCAGCATATAAACAGAACCAAGGACAAAAACCGCATGATTATATCAATAGATGCAGAAAAGGCCTTTGACAAAATTCAACAGCCCTTCATGCTAAAAACTCTCAATAAGTTAGGTATTGATGGGATGTATCTCAAAATAATAAGAGCTATTTATGACAAACCCACAGCCAATATCATACTGAATGGGCAAAAACTGGAAGCATTCCCTTTGAAAACTGGCACAAGACAGGGATGCCCTCTCTCACCACTCCTATTCAACATAGTGTTGGAAGTTCTGGCCAGGGCAATCAGGCAGGAGAAAGGAATAAAGATATTCAATTAGGAAAAGAGGAAGTCAAATTGTCCCTGTTTGCAGATGACATGACTGTATATTTAGAAAACCCCATCGTCTCAGCCCAAAATCTCCTTAAGCTGATAAGCAACTTCAGCAAAGTCTCAGGATACAAAATCAATGTGCAAAAATCACAAGCATTCTTATACACCAATAACAGACAAACAGAGAGCCAAATCATGAGTGAACTCCCATTCGCTATTGCTTCAAAGAGAATAAAATACCTAGGAATCCAACATACAAGGAATGTGAAGGACCTCTTCAAGAAGAACTACAAAGCACTGCTCAACAAAATAAAAGTGGACACAAACAAATGGAAGAACATTCCATGCTCACGGATAGGAAGAATCAATATTGTGAAAATGGCCATACTGCCCAAAGTAATTTATAGATGCAATGCCATCCCCATCAAACTACCAATGACTTTCTTCACAGAATTGGAAAAAAATACTTTAAAGTTCATATGGAACCAAAAAAGAGCCCGCATTGCCAAGACAATCCTAAGCCAAAAGAACAAAGCTGGAGGCATCACGCTACCTGACTTCAAACTATACTACAAGGCTACAGTAACCAAAGCAGCATGGTACTGGTACCAAAACAGAGATATAGACCAATGGAACAGAATAGAGCCCTCAGAAGTAATACCACACATCTACAACTATCTGATCGTTGACAAACCTGACAAAAACAAGAAATGGGGAAAGGATTCCCTATTTAATAAATGGTGCTGGGAAAACTGGCTAGCCATATGGAGAAAGCTGAAACTGGATCCCTTCCTTACACCTTATACAAAAATTAATTCAAGATGGATTAAAGACTTAAATGTTAGACCTAAAACCATAAAAACCCTAGAAGAAAACCTAGGCAATACCATTTAGGACATAGGCATGTGCCAGGACTTCATGTCTAAAACATCAAAAGCAATGGCAACAGAAGCCAAAATTGACAAATGGGATCTAATTAAACTAAAGAGCTTCTGTACAGTAAAAGAAACTACCACCAGAGTGAACAGGCAACCTACAAAATGGGAGAAATTTTTTGCAATCTACTCATCTGACAAAGGGCCAATATCCAGAATCTACAAAGAACTCAAACAAATTTACAAGAAAAAAACAAACAAACAACACCGTCAAAAAGCGGGCAAAGGATATGAACAGACACTTCTCAAAAGAAGACATTTATGCAGCCAACAGACACATGAAAAAATGCTCACCATCACTGGCCATCAGAGAAATGCAAATCAAAACCACAATGAGATACCATCTCACACCAGTTAGAATGGTGATCATTAAAAAGTCCAGAAACAATAGGTGCTGGAGAGGATGTGGAGAAATAGGAACACTTTTACACTGTTGGTGGGACTGTAAACTAGTTCAATCATTGTGGAAGTCAGTGTGGCGATTCCTCAGGGATCTAGAACTAGAAATACCATTTGACCCAGCCATCCCATTACTGGGTATATACCCAAAGGATTATAAATCATGCAGCTATAAAGACACATGCACACATATGTTTATTGCAGCACTATTCACAATAGCAAAGACTTGGAACCAACCCAAATGTCCATCAATGATAGACTGGATTAAGAAAATGTGACACATATACACGATGGAATGCTATGCAGCCATAAAAAAGGATGAGTTCATGTCCTTTGTAGGGACATGGATGAAGCTGGAAACCATCATTCTCAGAAAACTATCGCAAGGACAAAAAACCAAACACCGCATGTTCTCACAGTGGGAGTTGAACAATGAGAACACTTGGACACAGGAAGGGGAACATCACACACCGGGGCCTGTCATGGGGTGGAGGGAGGCGGGAGGGATAGCATTAGGGGATATACCTTATGTAAATGACGAGTTAATGGGTGCAGCACACCAACATGGCACATGTATACATGTGTAACAAACCTGCACATTGTGCACATGTACCCTAGAACTTAAAGTATAAAAACTCTGATGAATATCAAATCTGCCATTTTGTTGTAATAGCCATTTTTTAAAAGTTTTGTGCATAATGAGCATGCTTTCTGCCTTCTATTTTACTGATAAGAAACTGAGAAGATGGAAAAACTTCCTATCATACTGCCATTAACCATTGTATGGTATTCAATCAGCTATAAATCCACCCCAGCAGACATCAACATTCCTTCGTGGGCCTCACGTTTAAATATTCCTAGTAAAAGTCCTTTGACATGACTGAATAATTAATGAAACAGCTAATATACAATAATCACTACATGGATCTGCAGCTCTGATTTGCAATGTCAGATAAGACCATCGCTGATGAGCTGCGCAGATTATGGGTGTGAAACAATGATGGCCACGTTAGTCTGATAGGCTATTGGGGAATCTTTGTCCACCTATTTATTTTTTGATTTATGAGAAGGCATTTATCAAATGCCCTTTGGGCATCTAGCCAGCAATGAACATAAATTTAAAATACAATAAACCCTTCTTCTCTGTAGAATTTTTTTTTTCTAACATACTGAGAGAAGAAAATGCTACAGGGAAACAATTTAACAGAAGAAACCACATGAGCATTAGACAGAGTCATTAAAAGTTGTGCACTGGGAAATAGAAATAGGTTTCACTGAATACATAATCAAAATTAATTAAAAAGAAATCTCTCACAGGCTCTAATTGACTTTCTGTGTGTATGTCTAAACAGTATTAGATCCTGTGGCAAAGCAAGGCTTACTGGTACCTCTGAAGAATCTGCCTCACAATTGATTATTAGATAGTATGTATGTGAAATACCTGCATGAGATTTAATTGTATAGGTACATAAAATTATAGGTGATGATATAAACTTTGTGGTATTATGAAAAGACCACAAATATTGTCAAAAATATTCTTTGTGATTTGTTTTCTGTATTTTTTTCTATTTTGGTACTAGTAACCTAAAAATAGATCTGTACTTCCGAGATTGCATTCAATGAGAAGGGGTTGGGAAATGGACAAGGAGGGAGGAGAAGACAGTAAAACCCAGGCCTGACCCCTGATGCCCCCTGGACCACCCAGAGTGGGTGAGCCAGATGCTAAGAAGATACTTGATAGGGAGATGCAGAGTGAGAAAAGGGTGTTAAGAAAGCTATTGAGTGTCCAGGATAATACGTTCTTTTATTTACGTAAGAGTTTCCCTAAACATATGAACAATATAAATATAAGTGTGGACATAGATAACACAGATACTGAAGTAGATAGAGGTAGAGATAAGGCAATAATATTTCGGATTTTCTTTACATCTTCCCTTGTCATTAATCCATAAACATAATTTTCGTTGCTTGAAATCTAATAAATGTGCTATAATTTACTTAATCACATTTGTGTGAATTGGTTCCCCAGAAGATAAAATAGAACTAATGACAGACTTTCAGCAAGAGACCCCTAATCGTGGACTAGGGTAGAATTGTTGAAAATACTATCTCTAGGGTAGAATATAGAGGTTACTGGGGGAAGTGGAAACTAATCATATATTGGCCAGTTCCTAACAAAAAAACAAATGACATTTAGAGTCCAGTGGCTTGTTGATTTTGACTTCAGGAAGTATGGAAAAATTTGATATTATAAATATATGCTTTATTCAAAAGACTTGGTTCTCATTGATAAAATAAGACATACTCTGTATTTTAAGATTTTATGATTTTATATTCTTTAAATGGGAAATGCAGAATTAATCTAAGATTGTAGATAATACAATCTAATCATATTCATGGAAAATACACAGCATTGCTCTTTGATATCCTGTTTATCAAACTGCGGTAAAGATAAAATAAGAACATAATTATGAAACCATCATGGAAAAGTACCATACGTGATGCAAAAAAGAGGGGGGTTATTGCTGATATTTAGTCTAGAATCAAATGAGAGTTTTGTCTGTTTACAGACAAGGCCATAACACTGTATCTCCTTCTGAAAATGTATTTTCAGAAGATAAATAGATTCTATTTAAAGAAGGAGATGTACAGAGATATTTTCGGTTTTCACAGTTGCAGAGAGCTACTATTGGCATTTAGCAGGAAGAGGCCAAAGATGCTGCTAGCAGCCCACAGTGTACAAAGCAGAGCCCTCCACTCTCCACACCCAACAAAAATAATCTGACTGCAAATGTCAGTGGTGCTAAGCCTGAGAAATCCTGCTCTAGGGGAAATGTGTCTTTTTTTAATTTGCCTAAAATGGACCAGCAATGGGTCTGTGGTCTGCTACTGTGAGCTTCATGAGTAGAGGTGGGAGGACATAAGGCACACATCCTCTTTGACAATGTTTAACTTTACATCACAGAACTTCCTGAGGCTTGCTCAGAGACACAAGACCCTTGACTATTTTATATGGCAGACTGTCATATGATGTAAAGGCAAGCTCGCCTAAACAGGCAAAAGGGAAGCTACCTGCAGTAGTGGCTAAGATGAAGACTGCTTTAAAATATGTGAACAATGTAGCATTTAATCATGCAGTGTTTATTGCGCAGTTCTTAATCACTAATGAATGCTAACATTTTCTTGCTGTTGATACCAGGGAGAAATAGACAAATTCATGTTGCCCAGCTGCCTCTGGAAAGCGTCTTACTAAACATAAACTCCAACCTGAAGAAGATGAGTCACTGTCTCTGTGGGAAAACAGAATTTTCTCCTGAAAATAACAGTTTGTGTGGGAATGGAAATATTTCACCTTTTTGAGAGAAAAATGTTCAAATATCAAGAAAATTTACCACACACAGCTTTAATTTTACTTTCTATATTGAGGCTCGTTTTTTTACCAGTTGAGGAAAGAATTAATACTCAGTTCACACTGGGTCCAGAGACAAGAATTCACTTCCAGAAGCAGATAGCAGTGAAGTGTACATGTTTGTCTATGTGTGTGTGTGTGAGAGAAATTGTATTGCATGAGTGCATATATGTGTTTCTGTGTGAGTGTGTATGTGTGTGTACATGTGTGAATGTGAGTGTGAGAGTTTCTGTGGGTGCATGTGCATGCACCTGTGAGTATGGATGAGCTTTTATGTATGCGTATGTGTGTGAATGTGAGAACATATGTGTGAGTGTGTGTATGTGAGTGTGCATGTTTGAGTGTGAGTTTGAGTGTGTGTGCATGCACAGGTATGTGTATGAGTTTTTATGTATTGTGTATGCGTGTGAATGTGGGAATATGTGTGTATGCACATGTAAGCATGCATTCATTGTGTGTGCATGTGTGGTGCATGTGTGCTGTGTTACGAATGTTCATGTGTGTGTATATATACAGTCATGCATGCATATGCAGAAGTGCTTGTGTGCACACACACGTGAATGTGTGCCTGTGACTGTGTACCTAGTACTGGAGAGCTGCTTCAGAGGAAGCAATCCTGAACTAATGTCAAATTCTTTCTTTCTTTTATTGGTTTTTTTTTTTTTTTTTGAGATGGAATCTCACTCTGTCACCAAGGCTGGAGTGCAGTGGCACCGTGTCGGCTCACTGCAACCTCCGTCTCCTAGGTTCAAGCAGTTCTGCCTCAGCCTCCTGAGTAGCTGGGATTACAGGCGCCCACCACCACACTGGGCTAGTTTTTATATTTTTAGTAGAGACGGGGTTTCACTATGTTGGTCAGGCTGGTCTCGAACTCCTAACCTCAGGTGATCCACCCCACCTTGGCCTCCCAAAGTGCTGGGATTACAGGAGTGAGCCACCGTGCCCAGCCACATCAAATTCTTTCTAAAAGCACGTGTGAGAAAACGCCCTTTGGAAAATGAAGAGGTAATCAGTTTACTGGAAACCAATTCTGTGTGAAGCATTGCTTCCCTCCCTCGATGCTTTCACTTCATCATCTCTGGAAATTGGAAGGAACTAAAGGGGCCATTGTCCAAGGCACTCGTTTTGGAATCGTAACTTGTTCTACAGATGGGAGGGAACCATATTGGATTTTCATGCAGAATGGGGAAGGATTATATAATCATGTCTGTATTTTATAATCAACATTCTGGTGGCAGGTTCGGAGAATAGGGTGGAGGGATAGAGTTGCTAAAAGGGAAAGCCTATTTAATGTGCATATGCCTCTGTGCAAATTAACATTCCTGGAACATGCTTATGGCCTTACATCTCTGCAGCACTTGTTTGGAACCATTCACCTGAATGGCCAGGAAGCAGTCTGAGAGCGTGGGCCCTTTACTTTCTACCTCCTTCTGTCTCTGTTTCTTCTTCCAGTGGCACCTAAAATGAAAGCTACCACAAAGGGACACCTGAAAGTACCTATTGTCTGCTAAATATATCTATTGTCTGCTAAATGCCAGTCAGTCAGTAAGCTAGGAACTGGGATCCCAACAATGAAAAAGACTGACTTGTCCTGTGAGGTGGAGGGGGTCTCACTAAAATCTGCAGTATGATGATGACTGCTATGGTCACGGACAAAGTCCTGCAGAGAAAGCTATAGGAGTTTACTTTAGAGTTATATATCAAGACTTATTTGGGATTTTTTTCTAGAAGAGAAAGGAAGAAAAAGAAGAATTTAAGAAAAGAAAGGTCACGGGGTTGTTTATGGTGGCAAAAAAGGAATTTGCTTATTTTTGGTACATGTGTCATCGAGAAATCTCTCTCTCTGTCATGTTTCAATGTATCAGTCCATCTGTGCACACCTAGGCTGTTTGTGAGGGGCCAGTGCACCAATTTTAGAATTGTAACTTACTCTACAGACAGGAGAGAACCATGAGCTGGAGTTTCATGCAGAATGGGAAAAAATTATATGATCATATCTATATTTTATAATCAACACTGTCGTAGCAGTTTCCAGGAATAGGGTGGAAGGGTGGAGTTGCTAAAGGAGAAAGACCATTTGATGTGTAGGAGATTATGAGGGTCTGAGCAGTGTAGCAGCAGAGATCTGCAGAGGAGAGGATGAAGTAAAGGGACATTGCAGAGATTAGATAAATAAGACTCTCTGATTAATTGAATGAGGACTCTAAAGGGAGACTGAGTATTCATGGATATTTCCAGACATTGTAACTGCATGACTGGTAATGTCAGCAACTGAGATAATAAATGCAGAAAGGAATCTGAAATATTTAGAGAGAAAAAAGTGTCATTGTTATAGACATTGCAGTGTGGAAAACAGAGCTTGTGAAGGAGCCCTGGAATGGCAGTCAGGCAAATTAAAGGCCCCAGAGCTTTGTCTTTCCCAGGAATTGAGACCTTGGGTGAGCCATAGGCTCTGGCCTCTTGATCCGTAAAACTGTGATAACTGAACATCTTTTCTGACACTGTTGCTGTCAGAGGCATCCAAGCCGGAGTGACTCCATCTTGAATAAAGCTCAAGCAACACCAGACCTGCCGGGTTACATTCCTGGGAAGTCAGGCTTTCTTAGTCACAGGATATTTATGGTTGAGGGAACAAGTTAATGATGCTAACCAACTAAATAAAGCCCCTTAGAACAAAAAGCATTCCTGGTTTAAGAATAGGTTTCACTTTGAAGATAACAGTACACCCATAAATTCTTGCTGAAACCAATAGTTACATAAGAATATGACAATACTGACAGCCTGTCACAAGCTGATCACAGCCTTTGTCATACGGCACACTATTCCTCACCCTACTCTCCTATAGAAGCAAGAATTATGTTTGAGGAAGGGGCATTCCTGCTCTTGCTTTCTGAGGACACCCTACCCTATAGTGGAGATGCCTCAAACCATCGTAACTTCACTCTGCTCTGTGACTCACTCCAGATCTGTTTCTGTACAAGGATCCAAGAACTCACTCTTGGAGTCTGGGTAGAGACCTCTTTTCCAGTAACATGGTGACAATTAAATTATATTGCTTATATTTGTCTGTGAATTGTTATCTTTGAAGAATTTATGACTGTGACTAGCATGGAAGAAACATTCTATTAATATTAGCTATTGTCGCAGGACATTTTTTACTCTTGTCTTGGTGAAAACATGAGTGAGTATGCATGTATGTGACTTTGGCTGTAGGAAAGGCACTGTTCTCAGTTCTTTCCATAGAGCAATTTATTAAATGTTCAGCAAACATCTCTGAGTAAGGTACTATTATTATTTCCCCTTTAATGATGAGAAAAGTGAGATACAGAAAAATCCAGTAATGAGACTGAAGAGCAGAAGTCACAAAGCTATTATTTTTACTCAGTGAGATAAATAGAATGTAGTGCCAATGCAAAGGAGACAAAGTATCAGGAGGAAGGAGATGACTCCGTATCAGGTAATGAAGACAGGTCAAGGAAGATGAAGGTTCGGCAGATGGCTCATGTGGATGCGAGAGGAATTCCCATAGAAATGGGAAGCAAGCAGACAGCAACTGGGGTTAAAAATAGATGGAAAAAGCAAATATGAGAAAACAAACTAGTTGAGGACAAGTTTAGAGGTAAAAGCAAGGAGAGAGGAAAAGGGGAGGTTGAGAAAGAGAATGAGAGTAGGTGAAGTAACAAATCTTAATCTTCTTATTTAATTTCTTAGATAGTCTTTTGGTGAATTATTCTCTTCAGTTACCTGCATTTTACAGATAAAGAAAATGAAACAAATGAGAGATAGCAACATGTTTAGGGCTACAGTATAAATCTATTCATGAGAGAGGTTTCTATTAATATTCAGAACTTGATATTTCTCAGTCCTCTCCACTGAGCCTCACATTTACCACTTTGTCATGAATTGGAAAAAAAAAAGGAAAATTAAAAAACTTCACCATTTAAGGCAATTATTTCTCATTTAACATCTGTAAAATACATTTGTTAGCAAGGAATAGCACAGCGTGTGTGCTTCGCATTCTAAAGCTATTGCCTTCAAAATACTTTCTGGATGATATCTTTACAAAAATGGCTTATAGTTTTTCTTTATGTATATCTCAGTTAACTTTTCTTCTGTATGCATTTAAACTGAAATATAATGCCATAGGACTTAGAATGAGTGTTAAAATAGGACTCTTTCTGTTTGGTTTTTATGAAGCCCTCAAAATGAAATAGCAATATAAGAACTGCCAGGTATCCCTCAGGTCCCAAGTAAAGATGATGAACTATCTATTCAAGAAATTCTGAGAGCCTGGGTGCTGATGTTGCCAGGATTAGCCTATTATTCACCTCCAGGCTATGTAAAGTGTCCCGTCAATGAACTGGCAATGAGCATCTCCTTGAGAGAAATGTCAGCATATCATTTATTCCCCACATTTTCCTTGCAGGAAGGGAGTGGGTAATTTTCTGTTTATTTGAGAAATGGTAGTTGACTCAGTCCTGAAGAGACTAAACATGAACGACGGTGCATGTCTGGCCAGTCATCATGGGAGGGCTGAATAAATAGGGTGGCATTGTGAGCAAGCTGCTTGTCCACCAGTGATGCATGCTTTTTGGACGCAGTGGATAAATACTGCTCATTTGTACCACTTGGGGAGGAAAAATGGTGGAACAATTGAAGCCCATGAGAGGGGAGTCATAAGCTGGGAAGGAGCATTGTTCATGATGCTGAGGGAGGGAATCTCAAGGATCCACACAAGTTTCAAAATCATGCTGCTTCCGTGTACAATGCACCACCAGCAGATTACATCTGCCCTGGACAAGGGAAATGATATGTTTCCTTCGATCCAGTGTGTGTTGGAGCTCAGGAGAGGTGACTGTGTGCATTATTTTCCTCCCTTATTTAGTGATGTCTCATTTGTAGCACAAAATCAGCCATTGCTGGTATACTTATGCCACTGAAATCAGCAAGCACTGAGAAACAGTCCTTTTTGTTCTTTGGAGTTACAGCCATCACACTACTGTAATCTCCTCTCCCCTTCACCCTGGCCTTGAGTGGTCCAAGAAAACAAGCAGCAAGGTGTAGAACAGGTGGCTAGGATTGAAAAGGGAAATGAAGACATGTTCCACAAATCTTTTTTTTTTTTTTCTTTTGAGGTGGAGCTTCGTTCTTGTCGCCCAGGCTGAAGTGCAATGGCATGATCTTGGCTCATTGCAACCTCCACCTCCCAGGTTCAAGAGATTCTCCTACCTCAGCCTCCCACGTAGCTGGGACTACAGGCACCCGCCACCACGCCTGGCTAATTTTTGTATTTTTAGTAGAGACGGGGTTTCAGTTTATTGGTCAGGCTGGTCTTGAACTCCTGACCTCATGATCCGCCTGCCTCAGCCTCCCAAAGTGCTGGGATTACAGGAGTGAGCCACCACTCCCAGCCAATTTTTGTATTTTTAGTAGAGATGGGGTTTCACCATGTTGGCCAGGCTAGTCTCAAACTCCTGACCTCAGGTGATCTGCCTACCTCGGTCTCCGAAAGTGCTGGGATTACAGGCATGAGCCACCACTCCTGACCACACAAATGGCTTTTAAGCCCAAAGTAGACCCAAGCTGGGGAAAGTAGAGAAACTTAATCATGAGTGGATTTTAGAGCTGTGAACTTGTTATGCCAGATTGAACTTGATGAAAACCAGGAGGATCCTGCATGGCTAAGTGATCTGATTGAGATTTACTGATTGAGATTCAGGGGTGAGAAATTAGGAAACTGTTTAAAGAGGATTTAGGGAGTATAGTGAGCAAAAAATAAATTTATTTCCTATTGTTATATATTAAATGCAACTTTTTAAACTCTTTATAACTTGATGGGACTTTCTCATAGCCAGAGTCAGACCAGCTGTGATATTATTGTGGTTTAGAAATGCATTGTTAAATATGACTTCAGATATCAGAGGACTTCTATTCCCTTTAGTTACTACAAAATAAATGCTACCTGTAGCTTTCCCTTTGAATATTGAAACAATTATTTCTCTAAGAGTCTGTGGTTTAAAAGCCCTAGGTAGAAGAATCTGAAGATGCTGCATGTGAAATATGCAAGGGGGCACTGAGTCCTCTGTTTCATCCTTGACAATAACTACAACCAGGGCAAAACAGAGAAGGAGCTATGCTTCTGCTTAGCAGAAAGCTTCAAGAGAATGCCACTCTCACCCTAAGAATTAGACTTAAGTCATAAAATCTACAAATGTACCTTTCCTTGAACCCATCAGAGTGCCAAGTATTTTGTATTATGAAGCCTGAGGAGACCTTCCAAGGACAGCCAGGGTGCACTGGCAGAGCATGGGAGAAAGAGGGGACCAACTTATATGTGGATAAGAAGAAATCAGATGCAATTTTAACAAATTCCTAAATGCCAAATATGACAGTTTAAATTGGAAGCTTTGGATGTAAGAGGAGTCCATGCTTACTCTCAAATGCTTTCTCATAGACCTCCATCAGGTGTCGACAAGGAAGATCCCAGTAGGGCAGGAGACAGGAGCACCTCTGCTGTGGCCAATGCAGGAATGCTGGCCATCATTGCTTCTGCTGGGCGACTGAGAAGCATCACCCACTTCCCCAGAACCTTTTTTACGTGGAGTGAAAACTTTAAGGGGCTGTCCAGCTAAACCTCCAACCTCCAGATCCCATGCCAATTTCTCTGCTTCTGCAAAAGGACTTCAAGTGAAAGACATCTGCAGCTGTGAACGGGGGTAAAACCCTCCCTGCCCCAGGCCCCAAGCAAGGATTTCCCTAGCGGGGAGGAAGGTAGAATCGAGAGACCTCTAACCCTGGGAGAGGAGGGAGGGAAATCTCCGAGGACCAGGGTTATGCAACAACACAAGGGAAGTACCTGCTGGTTCTGGGGTTGGGGAGGAAGATCCCTACTGCCCAAGAGCCAGCACAGACACAAGGCAGAGCTAGACTGCCTCGGGGCTGGGGTCAAGAACACTGAGAAGGTGCAGCTCGCAGCTCCTGAGGGTAGGGCTTACCCCAAATGGAGGAAAGATCAGAGTGGACTTCTGAAAGCTGATGATAGAGCTGAAACACCAAGAAACCTCTGTCACCTGAGGCCCAACTGCTAAGCACAATGCAGCAGCAATCCACTGCTGAACAAACTTAAATCCTGTGGTGCTTTGCAGGTAAGGAAAGCAACAGTGACCTGCACATCCAACTCAACTGATGAGACTGAGCCAAACATCTACCATAATGGCCTTAGAGAAGAAGAGATATGCCCATATTTGACTATGAATAAAATTTACTTCAGTCTCTACCATTTAATCTATACAGTATCATAGAGTCAATAAAAATTATAAGAAGGATATTAAGCAATGATGGAGAAAAAAATCAAGTGTCAAGAGATAAAGCAATCAACAGAACAAGATTCAGAGAAGACCCAGATATTGGAGCTATTAGACAGGGACTTTAAAGTATGCTTATTGTGTTAAAAGATACAGTGGAAAGAAATATATAGTTCAACACAAATGAATACATGGAGAATTTTAGCAGAAAATTGAAAACTATAAGAATAAAATAGAAATACTAGAAAAAAGCCCCATAATGTCAGATGGAAGAACTTATTTGATGACTAACCAGTAGGCTGAATATTAAAAAAAAGGAATTAGTATACTTAAAGGTTAGGTTAATAAAAATTTTCAAGCTGAATTACAAAGAAAAAATAATATGAAAGAATAGAATGGAGCATCCAAGGGTCATGTGACAAATCCAAATTGTCTAACATAATTGGAATTAGAATTCCAAAAGGAGGAGAGAGGTAAAAGAGTACACAAAGGTTAGTGAGTAAACACTTTGTGAAATTAATGAAAGAATCTGAACCACAGATCCAAAAAACTCAGAAACCTCCCTACAAAAAATGAAACAAAACAAAACAAAACTCTCCGCAACTGGACACAACATAGGAAAACTCTAGGAAACCAAAGATAAGAGGTCAAAGCACAAGGGAGCCTGACATACAGTGGGGCATGGAAGACTTACAGCAGTTTTGTAATCAGGAACACTGGATGACCAAAGGCAGTGGAACAAATCTTAAACATACTCATAGGAGAGATAAACACAATCAACTCAAAAATCTCTACCCACTAAAAAATCCTTCAGTAATTAAGATGAAACATGTAGACTATTGATGAGAAATGAAATGTGAAATAATCCATTACCTGTAGACATGTACTAGAAGAAATGTTAAGAAAATTATTTAGGCAGAAGAGCATGAAAGCAGGTGGGGATTTGAATCTAAACACTAAATCACGAGAAACAGTAAAAATAAAGATAAACATAAAATATAGTTTGTGTTATCTTTAGCTGCTTTCAAAGATAATTGTTTAAATAAAAGTAGTTACAATCTATTAAAGCACTTGTGTCATAGCTAGAAGTAAAATTTGTGAAAACAATAGCACAAAGCATGGGAGAGGAAATTGAAGTAAAATGTAAACTTCTTATTCTCTTTGTGAAGTGGTGTAATATTATTTGAAGTTGGACTGTGGTAAGTGAACACATATTTTTCATACGTTATATCCACCACTAGAGATAAAATGAAATCATAAAATATTCATTCAATCTAAAACAATATAGATAAAGAAGAAAAGGTAACCAAGAATAGATGGGGAAATAGAAAACAAAGCAAAGTCATAGATTTTATTCCAACCATATTAATAATTTTCTTAAATTTAATTGACCCACCAATTTTACTCCTAAATATATGCCCAGTAGAAATGAAAGCTTATGCTTCCACAAAGACTTGCACATAAATACTCATAGGCTCTAGGATGGTTCTATATATTAATGGTCATTACACAACTGTGTACATTTGTCCTTACTCATCAACTGGCCATCATTGCTTCTGCTGGGCGACTGAGAAGCATCACCCACTTCCCCAGAGCCTTTTTTACATGGAGTGAAAACTTTAAGGGGCTGTCCAGCTAAACCTCCAACCTCCAGATCCCATGCCAAGTTCTCTGCTTCTGCAAAAGGACTTCAAGTGAAAGACATCTGCAGCTGTGAACGGGGGTAAAACCCTCCCTGCCCCAGGCCCCAAGCAAGGATTTCCCTAGCGGGGAGGAAGGTAGAATCGAAAGACCTCTAACCCTGGGAGAGGAGGGAGGGAAATCTCCGAGGACCAGGGTTATGCAACAACACAAGGGAAGTACCTGCTGGTTCTGGGGTCAGGGGAGGAAGATCCCTACTGCCCAAGAGCCAGCACAGACACAAGGCAGAGCTAGACTGCCACGGGGCTGGGGTCAGCCCAAATATACCTTATACCCAAATATACCTAATACCCAAATATACCTAAATATACCTAAATATACCTAAAGAGGTATATTTTACCAAGTATAAAATATGTCACATCAAACCTCACCAAAATATTTCAAATAGACAAAAATGTTATTCCAAGAGCTTTAAAACAGAACAAAATACCAAAACATGGAAATTACTTTGTTCATTAAAATATTATATATTTTTAAAATTTAGGTTATCATTTATTCTAGATTTGTTATACTTTCGTGAGGAAATGTAAATTATGAAGCAAATAATTTAACTAAAATATGTTGATTGTTTCCTAGAGGTTACATATTTATCTTTAAACAATGCCATTGTTAGGAGAAATTAAGAAATAATTGTGACACATTGTGACAATTAAAATTTAAAAAAATTCAAATTTTACGATCAATTTTTTCTTTAAAATGAATGAAATATAGATATGTAATTTTAATTACTAGTTCCCTTCTCCCTGATAAAGCTATTATTAGATAAATGTGTTTAATATTTCACAGCATTTTAGAACTGAGGAAGGTAGGTAGTAATTCAAGAAGAAAATGCTACATGTTTAATCTTTTAAGTGTACTTTGAATTAATTAACCACTATAGGAAAAGCAGAATAACATTATAAATGCTTTGCTATATGCATTAGGGTTTGGCCTCTCATGATCTGTTCCTGAAGGGATGTGTCTTCTTTTTTGTCTTAGAACATTTATGTGGATTAATTTTATCACCCCAGCAGTGTAGGCCTTCAAGACTTATAAATTGGGTTTACTTGCCTTAGCTTTTATCAAATATCCACATCACATTCTAAAAATACAAGTAAGGAGTCCCATATGGTGAAGCATGACCAGTCTCAGATTAGATTAATATTGAATTGTTCTGTTCTTTCATTTTAGAACAAAATATTACTGATATCCGAAAGCCCATTGAAACAACACTGAAAACACTAAGCAAAGAGGTAGTTTCCATGTGCTTGCTTTTGAGATTTGAAATGGACTCTGCCTTTATCGTCAATAGCAGGCCACATTTTTAGCTCCTTAGGGCTGGGGTATAATGCCACGTTCCTTCTCTCAAGTAGTCGCCTAACTGACCATAAAATTCTATATGCATGCGATTCTCATTTCTCCTTTCAAACATCAACAGATTCTCTATTGCATCTCGGAAAGATGATAAAACATGAAAACCAGGTTTATTTTAGTGATGAGATGAGATACTTTCACTATTAGCGGTAGAAAATAACTCTGATTCTGGATGACAGAGTCCGGGAATCTTCCAACACCAAAAACATGGTCTCCAGCGGTAAACCATTGGAAATACGCCCTCAAGGGGGCAGAGCATAGCTCCTTGCTGCTTAAATCTTGGCTACGCAGTTATTTTCTTCCAAAGCATACGCTCTGAAAACAGGGAAAAAGAGTAACCCTAAAGTGGAGAGACCTGACAAACACTACTGCCGCCAGATGATGGAGGCCAACATCAGCAGTGATGAGTCACGTGGATAGCATGTACCCGTGACACGATGTGACTAGATTGGCACTTTATCACTGTAGCCTTCCCCTCCCCAACCCACAATGCCAGTAAAATGATGAGGAAACCTCAGACAAATCCCAATGGAGGGACACTGTGCACAATACTTGACCAGTATTTTTCAAAATCGTCAAGAACATCAAAAACAAGGAAGGCCTGAGAAACTGTCACGGCCAAGGAGATATGACAACTAAATGTAATGTGACATCCTGCATGGGTACTGGGACAGAAAAAGGAAATCAGGCAAAACTACGGGAGTCAGATAAAATATGGCCTTTAGTTAATAATAAAATACTGATATTAATTATTGATTATTAATACACTTATTACTTATTAATAATCCATTAATGTCAGTCCAGTAATTGCAAAATATGTACCATACTAAGATGTCAATAAGAGAAACTGGATGCAGGTATACGAAAAATCTGTATATTTTTATAATTTTCTGTAAATCTAAAATTGTTCTAAAGTTAAAATCTCATTTAAAAATAAACTTTGGGGAAACAACCATGAAGTGTGTCACTTCTTCATTTTATTTGGTTAAAGTCCTTCATGAGCATTCAATAATATCATTTATTTTATTTTATAATTTTATTTTCATGTATTTTAAACTAATTTCATATTTTCCACGTTGCCTCATTTACTTGCTGATGCTCAGCTTTGCTGGCATTAGCTATTAGCAGAAATTGTGCTCTTAGTCTCACCCATAGCCCTATTGTCATGACAATATTCAGCATTGAGAGGTGACAGTGTGTTGGCAGTCCTCGCAGCCTTTGCTCACTCTCGGTGCCTCCTCGCCTCGGTGCCCACTCTGGCCGCGCTTGAGGAGCCCTTCAGCCCGCCAGTGCACTGTGGCAGCCCCTCTCTGGGCTGGCTGAGGCCGAAGCCGGCTCCCTCTGCTTGCAGGGAGGTGTGGAGGGAGAGGCGCCAGCAGGAACCCCCAGCGCTCGCGGGCCAGCACGAGTTCCGGGTGGGCAGTGGCCCCGGGCAGTGAGGGGCTTAGTACCAGGGCCAGCAGCTGCGGAGGGTGCGCCAGGTCCCCCAGCAGTGCTGGCCCGCCAGCGCTGTGCTCAAATTCTTGCTGGGCCTCAGCTGCCTCCCTGACGGGCAGGGCTTGGGACCTGCCTCCTGCCATGCCCGAGCCTCCTCCCGCCCTGGGCTACTGCGCAGCCCGAGCCTCCCCAACGAGCGCCGCCCCCTGATCCACGGCGACTGGTCCCATGGACAGCCCAAGGGCTGAGGAGTGCAGGCACACTGCATGGGACTGGCAGGCAGCTCGGCCTGCGGCCCTGTGCGGCATCCACTAGGTGAAACCAGCTGGGCTCCTGAGTCTAGTGGGGATTAGGAGAACCTTTATGTCTAGCTAAGGGATTGTAAATACACCAATCAGCACTCTGTGTCTAGCTCAAGGTTTGCAAATGCACCAATCGGCACTCTATCTAGCTAATCTCGTGGGGACTTGGAGAACCTTTATGTCTAGCTAAAGGATTGTAAATACACCAATCAGCACACTGTGTCTAGCTCAAGGAGTGTAAATGCACCAATCAGTGCTCTGCGTCTAGCTAATCTAGTGGGGACTTGGAGAACTTTTGTGTCTGGCTCAGGGATTGTAAACGCACCAATCAGCACCCTGTCAAAACGGACCAATCAGCTCTCTGTAAAACAGACCAATCAGCTCTCTGTAAAATGGACCAATCAGCAGGATGTGGGTGGGCCCAGATAAGGGAATAAAAGCAGGCTGCCGGAGCCAGAAGTGGCAACACGATGGGGTCGTTTTCTGGGATTGTTCTTTGTAATAAATGTTGCTGCTAGTCACTCTTTGGGTTTGCACCGACTTTATGAGCTATAACACTCACTGGGAAGGTCTGCAGCTTCCCTTCTGAGGCCAGCGAGACCACGAACCCACTGGGAGGAATGAACAACTCTAGATGCGCTACCTTAAGAGCTTCATTCTTGAAGTCAGTGAGACCAAGAACCCACCAATTCCGGACACAGCATGAAGTGTATCATAAGTGGTTTTATTAGTTAGTTTACCTATTTAGAATCACGTCTAGAGTCAAAATGAATCTTAAGGAAGATTGAGTACAACTCTTTGTCTCAGCAACTCAGCGACAGAGGCGAGATTAGAAACCTTATTTGTTGAAATTCCAATTTATTGAACCTTTTATTATAACCTAACACAGAAAATAATAACCCTGCACATAGAGTAATACATAGTTTATAATTAATTCAACTCCTTGAGATAACATCAATGGGAAACAAACATTTGTTTCCTGTTTGCGTTAAACTTATTAGCTAGTTTTTCAAATGGGATTCAGTTTTCCTCAGAAATAAATTTATTTAGAGCAGAAACCAATGTGAAGAATCTCTTGCCCCCTCTTTGGAGACAAATTCATTTGTGTTGGCATATAGGGCACTGCTTTGTGCACTGGGACATTATCTTAACATATGGTGCACAAATTTCTTGAAGGAATAAAATCAGTATAAAAAAGGAATAATTTTTACATAATGGTCAGTATAAGATCAACAATTTTCTATCATTAGGTGTTAAGGGTTTTAAGGACAATCATTATCAAATGAGCAGTTGTTTAACAGTGTGTTACCAAACATCATAAAACAGGATTTGGCTTTTGTTGAATCTGTAGTCGGGTAGCCTTAATTTGATATGTGACTCAGAATTAAAACAAAACAAAAACTATTTTTGTCTTTCTCATTCAAATTAATAATTTTTGAGAAACAGGATGCCCTTTGCTTTAACTAGATAACATTTAAAACAAAATATTTTGGTAACAATTTAGCCAACTTACATTTGTTGTTGTCAAGTCAGTGCATCAGCAAGGAGGCAACTCCAAGAAGGGAGGGGGGCTGATGGTATTTGCTAGTGAGAGGGTCCTGATCAATTGAGTGCTATTAGCAAGGGCATTGTTCCTGCCAGCAGAACATTAAAAACCCTGGTCAAATAATACCTTCTCTTGAATTCATCAGAGATCTGAAGTCACAGGGACAAACAGAACCCCAAAATTTGCTCAACTGGAACAGATGTCAGTGAAATAAGTTGGTCAGAAGATGCAGACAGAAGCTCTCAATGAGTTGCTAAAGCTGAGTGTGGATTATCCTGAGATGATGAAAATCCTGTAGGTCACGGATGTGGGGGAGGGGATTTACACTTTCACAGGCGCACTTTGCACACTTTCCTTTTCACAAAGCATTTCTCAGAAGCCTCTCCAAATACTCAAGGGGAACATCAAGGAGAATCCCTGGAAAGCTTCCTCCTGGTGCAGTTTGCGGAAAGGGAATGTTCACCACCACAGAAATTCTGCCCAGAGCCATCTCTGTCTTCTCTCCTAAGAAACATTTTCAATCTGCGGGGAAAAAAAAGCAATAAAACGGTGGATTGAGGACACCGGTGGAAATCCCACTGAAGGTGGGGTAAAGAGAAAAAGATAACAAATGCTCTACCCCTGGGTGATGGGGAGAAATACTTGGCAGCCCCACTTAAACCTGAGGGCTATAATGCTTGTGAAGACCACACCCTCAGACCCAGAATCACAGCATCTGCTTAAGAGTGAGACTTCAACAGAACACCAGAAAATGCCGCCTCTGCATAGTCTAGTACCACCCAAAGAAGTGTTAAGAATAAATCGCGCGGAATAGAGCTGGAAGAGCTGCAGGGACAGTTTCTCTCGATAGCAGAGCAAAGGAAATGGCTAATGCTAAGCAGAAAGATGTAACTCATAAGAAAAGACGTGCTTATATCTAAGCATTAAAAAAAAATGCTTCAGTAGCTATTGTGTGACAAAACGTGCCCAGTTGGAGGCAAAAAGTTATGAGGCGCAACAACAGGCAAGCAAAAACACAGTCTGAGGAGATACAACAATCATCAGAATCCATCTCAGATGTGACAGAAATGCTGGAAATATCAGATGTGAAATTTTTGAAAAGCTATTATGTTTTGCGGATTGACTGTGTTCTCACAAAATTCATATGTTGGCAAAGCTCTAATACCCAGTGTGACGGTAATTAGAGGTGGGCCTTTGTGAGGTGATTAGGGTGAGATGAAGTCATTGGGGAAGGGGGCCATAATGGGATTAGTTCTTAAGAAGAGCTTGAAGGCTCTCTCTTTCTCTTTGAGACACACACAGACACCACACACACACACTTTCTGTCTCATATGAGGACACAGCAAAACCAAAAATCAAAACCAAAACAAAACAGAAACCCCAAAAAGGATACAAAATAAAGCTAGATTAGTCATATCAATTTGAAATGAAATAGTCTACAAAATGAGGACTATCGTCAGGGATAGAAATAGACATTACATAATGATAAAGGGTCAACTCTACAAGAAAAACGTAACAATTCCAACATAAATCCTTGTATCAGCAATTTTGACAGCCGAGATTTTTATGTAGTGCTTGTAAAGGTCACGTGTTTGGAGCATAAATTCTCATACTTCAGCATTCGCACAGCCTTGCCTGTTCCTCAAGGTGTCTGTCACCATCACCGCGATATTGCTGCTGTCTACCTGAGGGCTGTGACCCCTCCCTGACGTGACTTCATCCTCTGGTTCCCATGTCCACATCTCTTCTTCTATACCCAAATCTTCTTTTCCTCCCTCTTAGACTGACACATGTGATTATATTTAGGAACCACGGAGATCATCCAGAATAAACTTGCATCTCAATATCCTTGGTTTAATCAGATCTGTGAGGCCATGTGAGGTCATATCCACACGTTCTGGGAATGAGGATGTGGACTTTTTCGTTTTTCAGCCCACTTCGTTATTACTTCCAATAACTGCTTCTATTTCTTTGTTGGTTTGTTTGCTTTATTTATTTATTTATTCAGCTTCTGTGACACCTTTTGCCAACACTTCTCTTTTTAACCATATCTTTAATTCCAAAACATTGGCATCGATGCTGCTAAGGTTGCCTTAGCCAGAACACTTTCCCGGTCTCAGGAAAATCTCTGATTTTCTGCTTTTTCTGCTTCCAGGGTTGTTCCTGACCTCTCCCTCTCTCTGGGACAAAGTCATCTTAATGGGACTGGGCTTTAAGAAAAAGCAAAAGGAAGGAAGGAAACAAAGAGGGGACCAAGGAAAAGGAAGGCCTTTGATTCCAAGCACCTAATTTTTTTTTCCTGCCATAAATGTTTCCTGAGACAAAGGAGCATATTGTTTGGACCATGTACTTGAAATGAGAGAAGGGGAAAAAAAGAGAAAAGATAAAAACACCTTAGTTAGAGTTAGAAATAACAGAGCTGAGTTTAAATCTAGGTTCAGCCCTGGCTGAATGATTTGAGCTTCAAGTGTAAAACAAAGATAACAATTCCTACCTCACAAGGCTGTTAAAAAATGATCAGTGACTTGAAAGTACCATGCAAATATAAATTATTATTGTTTTTATACAGACGGGAACAAAACAATCATTAACTTCCTTATTTATTTCTGCTGTCCTTTTATTTCTTACTGTTTTTGACTTGTGATATAGACAGCCATGACTGATTGACTGGGAAATGTGTATTTTTTCTTCTTTTAAAATTAAGGGGAACACACAGTTTTAAAGCCAATTTTTAATTTTCATGAAATAGCCGTGGATTGACCTCTACTAGATTATCCTGCTGCAAAGCCATGTGACACTGACCTCAATGTGGCAATTGATTTTTTCATAGCTCCTCATGAAGCCCGTTAGGCAGGTTTCACTGTAGAGTCCATTACTGCAGAGAGAGCCATTGGCCCTTTTTATGACTGGCAATATAAAAAGGTTCATTAGCTCCCAGCACCTACACAGTGCAGACATCCGGGGCTGAGGGGCCAGGGCAGGCACTGGGTGCACTTTTTTCTTTCTGCTTATTAGCACCTTTTAATGGACAGTAAATCACCACTTTCACGTGCCTGCTGTGAAATCCTTTCCCAAGGAACAAACACACAAAGGGCATCGGTGACCTGCTCTTCCCCTCTCGGTGTGGTTATTAAAAGCTCACGGTGGCACAGACAGGAAATGTTTAGAGAGATGTGCAGAAGGTCAGCTCCTAGCTTCAGTCCTCCGTGACATTGAGATATGACATGAACTGGTCAGTGAGCTGTCATTCAATGATCCAGTGTCAGTATTTTCCAAATTAAGTATAACTATGTTTCCTATGTTTTAAGCTAGATTTTTCCAAATAAAGTATAACTGGGGAGATGTATGACTTTAGAAGCATTACTAGAAATTACAAGCTGAGATATCACTTTTCTCCTTAATTGGCATACCAAATTTAGGGGGAAGTACAATTAAAATTCACTAGTGACACAGGAGCTCTCTAAATAGGTGAGTTCCCCAAATGGTGGGATGTATAACAATGGCCTGACACTCCCAGGGACTCTGAGTTTTTAATTTTCATCCTATAGTTCAACATTGTATTCACTTTAATTATTTTTAAATTATACAGATAGTTTGTCTTCTTTGAAAAAATATAATGTTCAGGATAACATAATTATAAAAGTATATATACTGTACATAATTTTAAACGTATTTTATTCATATATTTATCCACGTATATAATTTTTGTTTATTGTTCCATGTACACTAGGAACAGCCTTTCTGATTAATGAATGACTATCTCTGTATTATCTTCTAAATGGATACATAGTGCAAATTTGTATGGATTCACCATAAAGTCTTTAGTAAATGTCTTATTGTCTTCAGCTTTCTTTTCTCCTTTTCCTTCTTCTCTCCCTCTTCCTTATGTTTTTGCTGTTTAAATATCAGTGCAGTAAACACACATAAAGTAAGGTATTATGGTATAGTATCTGTTTTTTCTTTTAAGAGCCTTATACTCTTTGAGAGGTAGATGTCAAGGACACAGGTGTTAGCTGATGCCATGGCTTGCGACAATTCTATTCCAAATGGGACAGTGAGAAACGTGGATTTGCTCTTGAGAACTATATTTACATCCATTTTTTTCTTGGGTTTCTAATAGATCTTGCAATAATTTCTATATTACCATGAAGATATAATAAATATTCCTGTATTGAACTTTTAGCAATGTAGAGGAATCATTTTTTAAATTTAGTAATCTTTTAAAGATATTAATATAATATGCTGTTAATATAATGCACTATTAATATTGCAGCTTGTCAGCACCATTTATTGAAGAGGTTGTCCTTTCTCTAAAGCATGTTCTTGGAGCCTTTGTTAAAAATTAATTGGCTGTAAATACATGGACTTATTTCTGGGTTCTCTATGCTGGTCCATTGGTCTATGTGGCTTTTTCTACCAATTCCTTGCTGTTTTGGTTACTATCACATTGTAATAAATTTTGAAGTTAGGCTGTGTGCTGATTCTAGCTTTATTCTCTTTCCTCAGGATTGCTTTGGCTATTCAGACAGTTTTTTGGTTTTATATAAATTTTAGGGTGTTTTTGTCTATTTCTGTGAAAAATATCATTGGTATTTTGATAGGAATTGCACTGAATCTGAGGACTGCTTTTGGTGGTTGGGAAAACTGGTTATCTATATACAGAAATGTTTATCTAGACCCCTATCTCTCACCATATAAAAAGCCAAATAAAAATGGATTAAAGACTTAAATGTAAGACCCAAAACTGTAAAACTACTAGAAGATAACATAGCAGAAGCACTACAGGACCAGGACATTGGTCTAGGCAAAAATTTTGTGGCCAATAAGACCCCAGAAGCATATACAACAAAAACAACAATAGACAAATGAGTCTTATTTAAACTGAAAATCTGCACACCAAAGGAAACCATCCATAGAGCGAAGAGACAACCTGTTGAATGGGATAAAATATTTGCAAACTCTTCATCAGAATGTTTACAGAACTCAAAGCAGTCAACAACAAAACAAGCAAATAAACAATTCTAATGAAAATGAACAAAGGATATAAATAGATATGTCTCAAAAAAAGACATAGAGATGGCCAACAAGTATATAAAACATGCTCAGTGTCACTGATCATCAGAGGAATGCAAATCAGAACCACAGTGAGATGTCAATTTAGCCCAATTAGAATAGCTATCATCAAAAACAAAAAAATATCAGACGCTGGCAAGGATGCAGAGAAATGAGAACTCTCATACACTTTGGTGGGAATGTAGCTTAGTACAGCCATTATAGAAAACAGTATGGAGGTTTCTCAAAAAAAAAAACTAAAAATAGAATGACCACACAATTCAACAGTCCCACTACTGAATATTCATCCAAACGAAAGGACATCAGTATATCAGAGGGATGTATGCACTCCACGTTTTTGCAGCACTATTCACAATAACAAAGATATGGGATCAATCTCAGTGTCCAATGGATGAATGGATAAAGAAAATGTGGTATATTTACACAAAGGAATACTATTTTGTCCACACAAAAGAATGAAACCATGGTATGCAACAATATGGGGTTTTCAGAGAACTAGAAGTCATTGTGTTAAGTGAAATAAGCTAGACATAGAAAGACAAATATCACATGTAGTTATTCATATACGGGAGCTAAAAATGTAGATTTCGTGGAGGTTGAGAGTATGATGATAGTTACCACAAGCCAGGAAGAATGTGGATATGTGGAGGGGGGATAAAGAGAGGTTGGTTAATGGGTACAAACACACAGTTAGATAGAATGAATATGTTCTAGTGTTTCATAGTAGAGTAGGGTGACTATAGCTAACAACAATACATTGCACATTTCAAAATAGCTGGAAGTGAGGACTTGAAATGTTCGCAATGCATAGAAATGATAAATGCTCATGGCGATTGATATCATGACTTGACTTGATCATCACACATTGTATACATGTCACAAAATGTCAAATGTACCCCATGTGTATGTACTATTACGTATCAATAAAATATTTTTTAAATTACAGATTTTTAGATGTTAATATCTTTTTTTATTTATAGGTACTTTTAAAACATTGTTATAATCTTTTCAGTCATTTTTTAAAGTGGATTGTACATGAGTTGAAATTGACTAAGTTTGCCTTAAAGCAGCTTAATCTACCATAATATAATGTCCTTTTTATTTTATGCTTGAATTAGGTTGTCTGTCATTGTTAATTTTACATGTCATTTTAATCTGTTTCTGAGTATTCATTATTCATGAATTTGAAAAAGATGTTTTGGGGATGCTATGCAGATTAACTTGATTTACTTTGGTTACTTTGCTAATGGTATTAGTCCCTGGTTTCTTTGAAAGTAATATTTTATTAAGACCAAGAGAAGACTTTATATTCAAGCAGTTAGATTTGAATATATAAACCTGCTTTACCTCACTTTCTGTATAAAATTGAGAAGAAGCTTTGCAATCAAAATCAGTTATTTTGTCTGTAAAATGGGAATAATACTTATTTTTCAAGATTTTTGTGAAAATCATCTGAAATAAAATATATAAAAGCATACAGTAGCATATAAGACCTAATTCATAAGAAAGGATTAAATAATTTTTTCTCTTACTTTGAAAAAATAAAATAATTTTTTTCATTGAGAAAATCAGTTGATTTGATTTCATTTGATCAGTAAATTCATTCAAATCAGCTTGGTCATGTTATATTGCTGTGAAGTTTTATTTTCACTTTAAAATTTTTGGAAGAAGATAAATTAGGATGTGGATGCTATTTCTAGTTCTTTTCTTGTCTGAGTTTGATCTCGGATAAAATATGTTCCATTGGTACTAGTTTTAATTTGAATTATTAGTTAGGTATTATTTTTAATTAGGTGATTCCTAAATGAAAGAAAATGCAATTGTTTCCTCAGATCAATGCTTTCTAACTTAAACTCTTCAATAAATTTCAATATTTTGCTTTTTTTCCTACAAAATGGATTTTTTTTTTTTTTTTTGAGACAGAGTTTTGCTTTTGTTGCCCAGGCTGGAGTGCAGTGGCAAGATCTCAGCTCCCCACAACCTCTGCCTCCCAGGTTCAAGCAATTCTCCTGCCTCAACCTCCCAAGTAGCTGGGATCACAGGCATGTGCCACCATGCCTGGCTAATTTTGTATTTTTAGTAGAGATGGGGTTTCTCCATGTTGGTCAGGCTGGTCTCGAACTCCTGACATCAGGTGATCCACCCGCCTCGACCTCCCAAAGTGCTGGGATTACAGGCGCGAGCCACTGCGCCTGGCCAGTCCTCTTAAATGTAAAATGTTTCCCTTTGTTAAATTTTAAACTTTACAATTTTAGAGTTTGTGCACACGACACTGCAAGTTTTTTAGAAAAAAAGGTATTTCTTACATGAAGTCATGGATTTATGAGCCTTTGCGACCTTGGGGAAAAAATACCTGTCTTTTTTTCTGAGACGGAGTCTCACTGTGTCGCCCAGGCTGAAGTGCAAGGGCGCCATCTCAGCTCACGGCAACCTCTGCCTCCCTGGTTCAAGCAATTCTCCTGCTTCATCCTCCCGAGTAGCTGGAACCACAGGCACGCGACACCCTACCCAGATAATTTTGGTATTTTTAATAGAGATGGGGTTTCACCACATTGACCAGGCTGGTCTCCAATCCCTGACCTCAAGTGATCTGCCCGCCTTGGCCTCCCAAAGTGCTGGGATTACAGGCGAGAGCCATCACGCCTGGTCAGCTGTCTTTTCACTAAGGTAGCTTGCTGAGTCATATTAAAACATAGTACAAAGAGCCAAAAGACACATCAGATGACAAAATAATGTTAGGAAAAAGGCAACTCTCTCTCTCTTTCTCTGAACCGATACAGTGAAAGGCGTAAAAACACCTATTCATATTTATTACCAGGCACTATTCCTCAGTCTCTATAGTCTTATTTTTTTTTTATCCCTGGGGCCACATGATCTAATATTTATGAGATGAGTCTCACACCATTTCCATGATTAATTGTAGCCATATGTGGAAGACATTTGTTATATCTCGCTGAAAAGCATAGGATTTGATTTAAGTGGAGCTGAGTCTATTTATCCAACTCTCAGATTTGCTTTTCTGCCTACTTGTCCTGAGCTAAAATGTTTTCTGGTCTCCAAGCCTTTCTACAATGTGGATGTGCCTCACACTAAATAAATGCTTCCCCTGCAATCCAGACTGAATTCTGGGCCTGAACCTTAACCCTGTGTGGAGCCCTGAGGCTGGTCTTCCTTCATGCCATTGGTGAAATCACCTGCTGCTCATCTAACTTCACACAAAACAGTAAACTGGGTTGGAATCTCTGATACTGACTGAACTGCTGTTCCTTTTTTATCAGATTCTTTGGAGAGCTCATCTGCCAACATGACTGAGCCGCTTCCCCTCTCATGTCTGTTGCACACCAGGAAATGTTTCTAGTCGCTGGTTTTTGTCCCTCCTCATCTTTCCTGTGCTGTCATAGTTAATATTGGTCAGCCCGATCGTACATTCAGTGTCAATTTTAAGCACTGCATGTTTACATCTAGTTTTCCGTTTTGTAGACGATTATTTTATTCCCCCAAAGACATATTAATCTAATAAAGATGAAAACCCATTCCTACTATCAGAAGGAAAAGTGAAGTCTTTTAGGTATTCTGGGAAAGTGAAGTTATGTGATACTGTGGTAATTTTCTTTGTTACAAAATTATACATTCCCTGGTAAATTGGAATGGGCACAGTGCATGGTAAAGTTAGAGCTAATTTCTTTTAAAAAAGTAAGACTGCTAGAACTTCCAGTTTCAGCTTTAAAATGTAGAGAGTGTGGAAGTTTCTACTCTTAACCTTATGAAAAGAAAAGGCTTAACAAAGCGAATGTTAGGAACTTTTATTGGATTCCTCGAAAAAGTGAGATCCCAGGGCAGATTACCACCCAAAAATCTGGAGAAACAGGAGAATCTAGAGTTACAGCTGAAACAGACTTACCTGGAGCATAAATGCCAGAGACATAAGCTGGTAGGAACACTTCAGGAAGGTGGAGGCTAAGAAACAATTTTGAAGGTCATGGTCCAGAGACTCAAATCCAAGGACAGACTGAGATTTAATCATGAGATTATAGGATGCTTTCTGTTTCCAGGCCATGCCACCACACCAACAGAGAGAGCTTCAGTTGGTTAACAGTGGACTACAGCTGAAAGAGCTGCGAAGTGCCAAGTCTCTCTGAGGAAGAGTACTTAGGGAAGCCCGGAGTCAACAGGCAGACAAAGACACTACACGAATTTGAGATCTTTGGGACCTACAGCTACATCATAAATTAAACACAGCCCAATTCCTTGCCATTAGTGAAGTAAACAATACCTCAGATCCTATTACCGGGTACTTTGTGTCTGGGCTTCACTGAAAAATTACAAGATACACTAACAGCAAGGGAAGACATAATCTAAAGACAGGACAAACATCAGAACCAAACACAGATGTTGAAATTATCGGACAGAGAATTTAAAATAATTGTGATTAATATGTTAAGGACTTTTGTGAAAACAAAAAAAACAAAAAAAAAACAAAAAAAAAAACAAAACCAGACAATATCCAAGAACAAAGAATAAAGTAAGTGGAAAGACAGGAATGCTAAAAATATTTTAATATGGTTTTAATATGGTAGAGATATAAAAGTAAAGGGTGAGCTCACCAATAAACTTGTCATAGATGAGGAAATAATTAGTGAGCTTGAAGATATGTCAATATAAACTTCCCAAACTGAAATGCAAAGAGAGAAAATAATTATAAAGAGAATATGCAGGAGCTGTGGGAAAGTAACATATGGTAATTGGAGCATGAGAAGAAGAAGAAAAATCTTACAGAGTGTAGAAACTACTCTTAAGTAATAAGGGCCAGAATTTTCCAAGATTATTCACAGACATTATACCTCAAAACCAGAAACTCAAAGAACACTATTCAGGCCAAATACCAGACATTTTACACCTACACATAATATGTTCAAACATCAGAAAACCAATGACAAGGAGAAAATATGGAATACATCGGAGAAATATAAAACGTTATCTATATATAAAAAAAATTATATTGGACTTCTCATCAGAAAACATGCAAGTAAGAGGATACTGAAAATGGGCTGGGTGTGGTGGCTCACACCTGTAATCCCAGCACATAGGGAGGCGGAGGCAGGCAGATCACTAGAGGTCAGGAGTTCAAGACGAGCCTGGCCAACACGATGAAACCCTGTCTTACTAAAAATACAAATATTACCTGGATGTGGTGGTGGGCACCTGGAATCCCAGTGACTTGGGAGGCAGAGGCAGGAGAATCGCTTGAACCTAGAAGGTGGAGGTTGCAGTGAGCCAAGATTGCACCACTGCACTCCAGGCTGGGTGACAGAGAGACTCTATCTCAAAAAATAAACAAACAAACAAACAAACCAAAAAGAGGATACTGAAAATGTTTTAAAGTATTAAAAGAAAAAAAGGAAAAAATACCTCAACAACCTAGATTTCTATATCAAGCAAAATTATACTTCAAAAGTGAAAGAGAGATAAAGAATTTCTTGGACAAACAAAAACTGAGAAAATTCATTGCCAGGAGACTACACTGAAAGAGATATTCAAAAATATTTTCAACGAGAAAGAAAATGATACAGGTCACAGAATGAGGTCTATATAAGGAAACGAAAAGCATCAAAGAATGAATAAGTAGAGGGAAAAACGATCTTTCATTTTCTTATTCTTAAAGACCTAATTCTAGTAATCCCAGACTGCTTGGTTAACGTAATAATAATACCAATGTGTTGTGTGATGATAGTACAAAGGTAAGTGGAATGATTACCAGAACATTATAAAGGATGGGATAGAGGAGTTAAGAGTACTTGGTTATAAGGTACCTGTATTACTCAATAAGTGGTATAGCGTTATTTGAAAGTGGAGTTAAATTAGTTGTAAATGTATATTATAAACTCTAAGTAGCTACTAATTTGTTATAAAAGGTATAATTGATATGTTGAAAGAGGAGAGAGAAAATGGAATCATATAAAATTCTTGATTAAAACTAGCAAAATCAGATAATTGGGGAAGATAAAAAATAAAGACCAAGGGCACTGAATAGAAACATAGTACATATTAATATAAATATATCAATAATCACTTTAGATGTGAATGATCTAAATATACCAACTAAAAGAGACTGTCAGAGTAGATAAATAAAAATAAACACAAGGACAAACTATGTATTGTCCAAAATAAGTCCATCTTAATTATAAAGACATAGATCAATTTAAGGTAAAGGGATAGACAAAGATACGTGTCCCAGCCCAATTTTTTTAAAGCCAGAGTAACTATATTAATTGCGGACATAGCAGTCTTCAGAACAAGAAAATATATCAAGGATACAGAGGGAAATGCATTATGATAAAGTGGTCAGTTTTCCAAGAAGTGATAATAATTTTAAAGGTGTATGCGCCTAGCAACAGACCATCAAAATACATGAGGCCAAACCTGATAGAACTGTAATAAAAATAGACAAATCCACTGTTATACATGGAGTTGTAAACACCTGTTCCAGCAATTAATAGGTCAAGTCGACAGAAAACCAGTAAAGATATAGTTGATCTGATCAGTACCATCAATCAATTTGATTTAATTGAAATTTATAGAATAATTCATTCAATATTGGTAGGATGCACAGCCCTCTTGAGGCCTCATAAAACATTCATTAGTATAGACAACATTCTAGATGAGAAAACATATCCTACCAATTTTTTTAAAAGAATTATATAAATTCTCAGCAATGGAATTTAACAAAGACTTGTGTAACAGAAATAATTGAGAAATCTTCAGATTTAAAGATTAAATGACATACTTCTAAATAACACCCAGGTTAAAGAAGAAATCTTAAGAGAAATAATTTTTTGAGCTAAATGACAGTGAAAATAAAACATCAGAGTTCGTGGACTGCATCAAAAGCAGTACCCAGAGAAAAACATATAGCATTAAATGCATATATTAGAAAAGAAGAGAGATCTAAAATTAATAATCCAAAATTATAGCTGAGGGAAGTAGAGAAAGTGGATCATCGTAACCCTGAGAGATGCAGAATATGATTGGTGAGAATTAGAACAGAGATCAAGTAAATTGAAACAGGATGAAAATAGAGCAAATCAACAAAACCTAGAGCTGATTATTTGAAAATATCAATAAAACTGAGAATACACAAATTACCTATGTATGAAATGAAAGAGGTATTTTCTCTACTGATTATATTGACATTACAAGGATAATAAAGGAATACTTTGAAAAATTCTATGCCGAAAAATTTGGTAACTTAGATGAGAAGGATCAATTTTTTGACAGACACAAACTTCCATACACCCACAAGGAGAAACTGGTAATATGAGCAGGTCTATTTGAAACACCTATTATGAAATTGAATGAATAATTAGTAAATTTTCAAAAAAAAGCACTAGGCCAGATATTTTTACTGGTAAATTCTACTAAATATTGAAGAAAAAAATTATACTAATTTTCCATAGACTCTCCAGAAAAAGAGACACATACTTAACTCTTTCATCAAGGCAACCATTTCTCCACTATCAACATCAGATAAATGCATTAAAATGAAAGAAAACAGCAGACTAATATAGCTTATGAACAAAGATGTAAAAATCCTTAGCAAAACTGCAAATCAAGCTGAATGATGTATACAAAGAATATGACCATGTGGGAGATATTCCAGAGATGCAAGACTAGTTCAGCATTCAAATATCAATCAATGTAATCTACCACATCAACAGGCTAGAGAAGAGAAAAAGTGTTGTATGATCATATCAGTAGATAAAAAAAGGCATTTGACAAAATCCAATATTGATTCATGATAGAAACTCAGCAAACTAGATATACACATAAATTTAATCAACTTGATAAAAAATACTTACAAAAATCTTACAGCAAAAATTATCTTAATATTTAGAAACTAGGTGTCTCCCCTTAAGAATGGGAATATACCAAAGACATCCACTTTCAATGCTCCTATTCAGCTTTGTACTGGAGATAAGAAAAGGAAATAAAAGTTGTGTATATTGAAAAGAAATAAATTTTTGTTTGTACATTACATGATAATCTATGTACAAAAATTCAAAGAAATTACTAAACACACACAGACACACACTCACACATAAATCAATCCCTGGGACTAGCAAGCAAGTATAGCAAGGTCACAGGATTATAAAGTAAATTAGTTTACTCTATACTAACAATGAATACTTGGAGTTTAAAATTTAAACAATAAAATTTGCACCACCATATCATTACCAAATGAAATATTTGGTTATACATCTCACAAAATATATACAGAATTTATATGTGAAAAAAACTACAAAACTCTGATGATGAAAATCATTAAAGGTATGAATAAATGGAGAGATGTTTTGTATCAATGAATTGTAAGTCTCAATATTGTTAGGATATTATTAGTTGCCAACTTGATCTATGTATTCAATGAAATTCTAATCAAAATATCAGCATGTAACTTTGTAGATACCAGTAAACTCATTCTCATGTTTATATGGTAAAGGCAAAAGACCTAGAACAGCCACTACAATATCAAAGAAGAACATTGGAGGAGCAACCCCACCCTATTTCAACATTTCCTATAATGTTACAATGATCAAGAGAGCATATAAATGGTGAACACATAGACACATAGATCAATGGGACAGAGCAGAGATCCCAGAAATGAACTGCCACAAATAATGTCAAGGACCAAAGGCAATTCAATGAAAAAAGAATAAACTTTTCAATAAGTGCTGCTGGAAAAATTGGCTGTTCATAAGCAAAAAAATGAAAGCTTACACCTTTTACAAATATCAAATATAAATGATTCCTGGATATAAATGTAAAGTGCAAAAATACAAAACTTCTAGAAAGCATAGGGAAAATGTAAGAGAACTAGGTTTGTTTATTTGTTTTAGATCTAACAGCAAAAATACAATCTACAAAGAAAAACATTGATAGATTGTACCAAATTACAATAAAAAACCTGTGCTCTTCTAAGTGCACTCTTAAGAAAATGAAAAAATAAATAACTGACGGAGAGAGAAAATCACAATATACATATATGATAAAGATATTGGGCCAGGTGTGGTGGATCATGCTTGTAATCCCAGCACTTCAGGAAGCCAAAGCAGGAGGATCACTTGAAGCCAGGAGTTTGAGACCAGCCTGGGCAACAAAGTGAGAAACAATCTTTACAAAGAATTTTAAAAAATAATAGACACGGTGGCATATGCCTATGGTGCTAATTCCTCAGGAGTATGAGGTAGGAGGATCACTTGAGCCCAGAAGTTGGAGGCTACAGTGAGCTATGATTGTGCCACTGAACTCCATCCTAGGTGAGAGCAAGATCCTATCTCTCAAAAAAGAAAAAAATTGTGTTCAAAATATACAAAAAATGTCTAAAACTAAGAAGAAACCAAAAGATGTGAACAGAAATCTCATCAAAGAAGACAGGCAGATGGAAAATAATCATATGAAAAGATGCTCAACATTATTTGTCATTAAGGAATTGCAAATTGAAAGAAAGATGATATATTACTAAACATCTATTAGAGTGGCCAAAATCCTAATCACTAACATTACCAAATGCTAGTGAGGACGTAGAGCAACAGGAAATCTCATTCATTGCTGGTGGGAATGCAAAATTGTACAATCACTTTTCAAGACAGTTTGACAGACAGTTAATACTGTCTTTATGCAATCCAACTTTTATACTCTTTGTTCTTTAGCCAAGGATTTGAAAACATGTTTTTATACTAAAATTGAATTATGAATATGTATAGCAGTTTTAATCATAATCACCAAAAACTGGAACAACCAAGATGTCCTTCAGTAGGTAAATTCACATAAATTGTGAATATTTATAGCAGTTTTATTCATAATCACCAAAAACTGGAACAACCAAGATGTCCTTCAGTAGGTAAATTCATAAATATATCATGGTGTGTTCATACAATAAAATATTATTCAGTAATAAAAAGAAGCTATCAAGCCATGAAAAGACTTGTATGAAGATGCACATTGCTAAATGAAAGAAGCTAGTCTGGAAAGTCTATATACTTCATAGATGACAGTCCAAAAAAGACAAAACTATAGTGATGATTTTAAAAAAAGATAGTGGTTTCCAGGGGCTTGGGGGTGTTGGGGGTGGGAGAAAGGAAATATATTAAAGAGATGAAGTTCAGGGGATTTATTAGAGCAATGAAACTATTCTTCATGATACTGTAATGGTGAATATGTGGTAGTCAAAACCCACTGAGCTTTGTAGCATAAACAGTGCACCTTAATGTGTGCAAATTTTAAAAGTATAATTTAGGAGATTGGGGACCTCCAGAATGTAATGCAGAATGTGAAAAAATCTAACTGTATTACAAATGTATCAAACTGTATGACTGAAGTGATAGCGGAAAAAGTGCTTACCTAAGTAAGTTTGGAAATCAGTAGTCTGTAAAACTAAAGTCATGAGCAACTTCATGTAAACACTGTACTCTAGTTGGTAAAGTTGCTTCCCACAAGATAACAACTCTGATACTGTAATACAGGTATACTGAATTGGATACTAGTTAATTGGATAGCTGATGATGAAAACCAGGTTTCTTGCTATTGGGATGGAAGATTATATATAAGTTAGAAGTGGAGGCTAGAATGATCCATGTGGTAATGGATTAGTTGGAGACATCAGTATGAACTCATGTTTAGCATAATACAGATGCAGATAATTACATATAAAAATTCACAGATATGTACATACACAGAATAGTACACACACACATACCCTTGCTTTGTCAGTCGAGGGGGCCTGAAAGCAATAACTCACCTATATTAGCAAGCACACCTAGTGTCAGACCTTAGTTTCTAGTAGCATTCTCCAGGAAAAGGAACCAGAGCTTCTTACAAAAATGGCTGATTCCAGAAATGGGGCAGAAACAATACAATAGAAACACAGTGCATCTGGTAGTGCCAGAGTTAAGGCAGTGCTAAAAATGAAAAATAACAAAAAAGGAGAAAACCCAAACCTACCATAATAGGGGGATGTCAAAGAGACGCAGAGCCACCTGGAAGAGTCCCCACGTCAAAATGGGAAAGATTGAACAAACAAACAAAAATGAGTAGAATTGGATGGCAACCCAAATTTAAAATAAAAAGCCATGATTTCATACTGATAAAAATAAGTTATTGAATAAATTGATAAATACAAGATAATGAACAAATTCCCCATACAGAAGAATTTTGAATAATCTGTATAGGTAATCTTTATTCAATGAGGTTGAGCATAACTCTTGATTCCTTAAGTGTGGGCGGTGCATGGAGACGTCCTTTCAAACGGCACAGTGTGGAGTGGAAGGGAAGTAACTCTACAGTGGAGACACTTGACAGATGCCACTGCAGCCAGGTGATCATGGTCAATATCAGCAGTGATAGGTCATGTCCATAGTTTATACCATTGATATGATATGATGAGAATGGCATTTTATCTCTAGGGTCTTCATTCAAAAACCTATAACCCTGGTCTAATCTTGACAGAAACATTAGACAGATCCATATTCAGGAACTTTATACAAAATACCCGATCAACGCCTCCTAACTACCAAGATTTTTTTTTTTTTTGAGACCTAGTCTTGCTCTGTCGCCCAGGCTGGAGTGCAGTGGCGCGATCTCGCCTCACTGCAAGCTCCGCCTCCCGGGTTCACGCCATTCTTCTGGCTCAGCCTCCCCAGGCGCCCGCCACCACGCCTGGCTAATTTTTTGTATTTTTAGTAGAGACAGGATTTCACCGTGTTAGCCAGGATGGTCTCGATCTCCTGACCTCGTGATCCGCCCGCCTCGGCCTCCCAAAGTGCTAGGATTACAGGCGTGAGCCACCGTGCCCGGCCATAACTACCAAGATTTTTAAAAACAAGGGTATTCTGAGAAACTGTCACAGCCAATCAGAGCTTAAGAAGGCATGACAACTACATGCAATATGGTATCCTGGATGGAACACTGGAACAGGGAAAGAACATTAGGTAAAAACCAAGGGAATACAAATAAAGTATGGACTTTAGTTAATATAATGCATTGATATTTATTCATTAATTGTATAAATGTACCGTACTAATATAAGGTATTAGTAATAGAGGAAACTTGATATGGGTCGTATGAAAACTCTGTACTATCTTCACAATTTTTCTGTACGTTTTAAGCTGTTCTAAGGTAAAAAGCTCATTTTAAAAATAAAAGCATGAGTATCCTTCAGCTATTTGAGCAATGAAGTTATATTACAATTACCTGTGGCTAATATGTTTGCATGAGAACTTCGTTAGTGACATTATCTTTATTTACTCTCTCCCATATTAATATAAACTGAACTTTACGTAGTGTTTAATCTACTGTGACTCATGCAACATGATACAGGGCTTGGAGTCTAAAGATGACCAAATTATGTTACACTCTGTATCTGGCTCTTTTTTCTAACGTGGTGGATGAGATGTTCTGGAATTTGCAGTCCACTTACTCCTGCATGTTGTGGTCCAGAAGGAAAGTGTAACTGAATGTAGAGTGGGACAGAGAAAATATTCTAGATTTAAATTATTGGCAGATTTGTATGCTAGAGAAGCATTTTAATTCAGGTTTATCAGTTTCCAATAATTTTATATAATGATACGAATTAAATCCATGCTTTCCTTGGAAACCTCATCACCATTGTTCCAGCCCTGGCTACCACAGGAAGGGATTTTATTTACTTCAACTTCTCCTCTTCCTTGGGTTCTAAGGGGCATTTTTTCAATAAACGTACTTCTTGCTTCTCTGATTAACCCTCTTCACCTTATTCATCTATTGCTTGTCTTCCTCAGACTGACCCAATACTTTAAATTATACAACAGGTCTCAGACCCTGTTCTCAGTGTGTATGATTAAAGAGATGAGTTTGTTGTGATCACATATTCAAAGCCAATATTCTCTTTTGTATAAATATTTCAATAATTTCCTCATTTTTGTCCTCGTATACATTTTTGCCCCTCCAGGATCCACCTGTTTTCATCAGTTTGGGCGGCTGTAACAAAATAGCTTTGAAATGGCAGCTTACAAACCACAGTCATTTATTTTTCACAGTTCTGGAGCCGGAAAGTTCAAGATTGAGGTGCTGGCAGATTCGGTGTCTGGTGAGGACCTTTCTCCTGGATCATAGATGACACCTTCTTGCTGTGTTTGTACAGGGTAGAAGGGGTTGGTCAGCTCGCTGTTGTCTGTTTTATAAGGGCACTAATCCCGAGCATGAGGTCTTTACCTTCATGACTCAGTCACCTCCCAACGGTCCCATCTCCAGAAACTGTTGCCTTGCAGGTTAGAATTTCAACATATGAATTTTGTGGAGATAGGAGCATTTGGATCATAGCATAACTGTAATGCAGAAGCCAGATTGAACTTTTAAAGTCATTTGTCTTACTAGGTAAGCTCAGCACCTTGCACTTAAAATTAATCTTTTAAAAAAGCCTGCAAGTACCTGCAAAATGTGCCTGCTATTTTTCCTTCCAAACCTAACTATGATTATTTTATATCTTCCAACTCCTTCTTGCTCATAATGATCATGCCATTCCCAACATTTTGGCTTCCTATCCCCTTCCACAAAGTGAGTTCCTTGGTGCTTTCGGAGTTTGCTGTACTGAGCCTTTCCCCTGAGGCCTTTCCCCTTCTCTCTGCTCTGTGCATAACTGTTTCTTTCTCATCTTTCAAGGCTTTCCCTGAGTGTCCCCTATCCCCATTATTTTTATCTCAGAAATTCATTTATTTTAGCAAATATAATTAATCTCATTTGCTTAATATCTGACTTTATCTCTGAAATATAAAATTTCTTGAGGATTTAGATTGTCTTCTTGTTTTTAATAGTTGTGTTGCTCAGCACCTGGAAGAGTGTCCTCACAGAGTGGGTTCTCAGTAAATATTTGTAAACGTATAAATGCATCTTTGTTTTTCTTATTGCTTGTCATTCTCATAATTTCAAATACTAGCATTCTTAATCGTACCCAGTCTATTAGTACATTCTCACAATACTAATAAAGACATACCCAAGACTGGGTAATTTATAAAGGAAAGAGGTTTAATTGACTCACAGTTCCACATGGGTGGGAGGCCTCACAGTCATGGCAGAAGGCAAAGGGAAAGCAAGACATGTCTCACATGGCAGCAGGCAAGAAAGAGCTTGTGCAGGGAAACTCTCATTTATAAAACCATCAGGTTTAGTGAGACTTATTCACAAACATGAGAACAGTTTGGGGCATGACCTGCCCCCATGATTTAATTACCTCCCTCTGTGTCCCTCCCATGACACATGGGAATTATGGGAGCTACAATTCAAGATGAGGTTTGAGTGGAGACACAGCCAAACCCTATCACCTAGAAATACAGAGTTTGGGACCTACAATTTTTATTTATTATAGTATGCCAATTTAGAAAACACTTTGTTATTTCAATGTTAAAATTTTAAAAGGGATTCATAATATGTATCCCAATCTTTAACTCAGATCAGTTTTCTAGGTATTCTATTTTGATTATTAGTGTCATTATTTTTTGGTCACATAAATTTGAGCAATATTTTAGTTTTCTTCTTTGCTCACAATTTGCTTGCCATTATTCACAGTCTTTTCTCAATTTCCAACTTAATTCCTGCCTCTTTGCCTTTTACCTACACCAGGGTTGTCAGATATCCTATGAAATGCTGTCATTCACATCTCTTAGTCTCCTGATGAAATAAATATCAAGATTTCTGTTTTCAAGAACTAAAACTTTAAAAAATTATTTGGTGTTTCTCCATTTGAAGAAAATCTACTTAAGATGTTTAATGATTTGGCATATTTTGATGCTAGAATATTATTATCTGGTCAGCATAAACAAATGGAAGTAAATATATTAAAACTTGTCAAAAAGTTTCCAAACTAAAAAATAGTTGGAAGTCTGGAAGCTACTAAACTATTTTAGGAATCCTTCTATTTGCCTCCAATAGAATGGGTGACTGAATAAAATATAACAAAATTATTTTTGAGTCTATATTGAAATAAGAGTTGTATAATTTTAGGATTATAGATAAAACTTAAAGTCAGATAAATGTGTGATACCTCAGGAGAATTTATACCAAATATAAATCTTAACCACAAGGGTTGTGTCTTTAATGCCATATAGGGAGAGAAGTCTGTGCAACAGGCTTTATGTGAACAATAAAGTGAAATATGGAATTAAAGTTAAAATGGATAGAAAAAAAACTAGTAAGTGCAGCACACAAAATAAGATGCTATAAATAAGTTAAATATATTATATATATTAATGAAGGTAAATGGAGTAATCAACTAAAAGAAATAAACTATATTATTATGAAACTTTAAAAAAATTCTTAATGTCAGTCCTTCTCAACCTGTTTCAAATTCATTTTATGATGTCACCATTATTCTGATACCAAAGCCAAACAAAGATACTAGAAGAAAAAAATTATAGACCAATGTCCATGATGAAAGCTGATGCAAAATTCTCAGCAAATGCTAGATAACCAAATTCATCAGCACATTAAAATAATTATACACCATAACCAACTTGAATTTGTTACTGGAATGCAAGGATGGTGACTTAGCCCATTTTGTGCTATTATAACAGAATACCAGAGACTGGGTAATTTATAAAGAAAAGAAATGTATTTCTCACGGTTCTGGAGCCTGGGAAGTCCAATATCAAGGTGCTGGCATCTGGTGAGAGGCTTCTTGCTGCATCATCTTATGGGAAGGGATGAGAGGGTGAGAGAGATAAAAGGGAACCAAATTCATCCTTTTTAAGAAATTTACTCCTGCAATAATGCCATTAATCCCTTTATGAGGGCAGAGCCTGAATGGCCTACTCACCTTTTAAAGGTCTCATCTTTTTTTTTTCTTTTTTAATTTTATTATTATTATACTTTAAGTTTTAGGGTACATGTGCACAACGTGCAGGTTTGTTACATATGTATACATGTGCCATGTTGGTGTGCTGCACCCATTAACTCGTCATTTAGCATTAGGTATATCTCCTAATGCTATCCCTCCCCCCTCCCCCCACCCCACAACAGTCCCCGGTGTGTGACATGTTGAAATGTAACCGCCTTTGTAATAGTATTAAAAGATGAGACCTTTTAATACTAACAAAGGCGGTTACATTTCAACATGTGTTTGGGAGGGGACACACAGTCAAACCATAGCAGATCGTTTAACATGTAAAAATCAATTAGTGTAATGTACCACATTGAGGAACGAAAGTCAGAAACCACACAGTCATCTCAGAACAAGAATTTGATGCAGAGTAAGAATTTGATAAGATTTGACTCTCTTCATGATGAAAACTCTCAACAAACTGGGAATTAAACAAAATACCTCAACATAATAGAGGCCATACATAAAAATCACACGGATAACATTACACTCAACAGGGAAAAATGGAAAGCCATTCCTGTAAGATCAGGGACAAGAAGAGGATTCCCACTCTCACTACTTCTGTTCAAATAACACTGGAAGTCCTAGTCAGAGCAGTTAGGCAGGACAAAGAAATAAACAGTATCCAAACTGAAATTGCAGAAGTAAAAGTATCTCTGATAGCAGATGACATAAGCCTATATGTAGGAAACTCTAAAGAGTCCACAATTAGTTATTATAATTAATAAATGAATTCAGTAAAGTTGTAAGATCTGAAATCAACATGCAAAAATCAGTCACGTTTCTATAAACTAACAATGGATAATCCAAAAAGGAAATTAGGAAAGCAATAACATTTACAATGGCATCAAAAAGAATAAAGTACTCAACAATAAACTTAACCAAGGAGGCAAAAGATGAACACTGAAAACTACAAAGCATTGCTGAAAGAAATTAAAGACACAAATAAATAGAAAGACATTCCGTGTTCACAGATTGAAAAACTTAGTATAACGTTAAAATGTTCATTCTACCCGAAGTGACCTACAGATTCAACACAATCCAAGTCATGAGTGAACTCCCATTCACAATTGCTATAAAAATAATAAAATACCTAGGAATAAAGCTTACAAGGGATGTGAAGGACCTCTTCAAGGAGAAATACAAACCACTGCTCAAGGAAATAAAAGAAGAGCAAAACAAATGGAAAAATATTGCATGCTCATAGATAGGAAGAATTAATATTGTGAAAATGGCCATACTGCCCAAAGTAATTTATAGATTCAATGCTATCTCCATCAAGCTATCATTGACTTTCTTCACACAATTAGAAAAAACTACTTTAAAGTTCATATGGAACCAAAAAAGAACCCATATAGCCAAGACAATCCTAAGCAAAAAGAACAAAGCTGGAGGCACCACACTACCTGACTTCAAACTATACAACAAGGCTAGAGTAACCAAAACAGAATGGTACTTGTACCAAAACAGATATATAGACCAATGGAACAGAACAGAGACCTCAGAAATAACGCCACACAGCTACAACCATCTGATCTTTGAAAAACCTGACAAAAACAAGCAATGGGGAAATGATTCCCTACTTAATAAATAATGTTGGGAAAACTGGCAAGCAATAGGTAGAAAACTGAAACTGGACCCCTTCCTTACACCTTATACAAAAATTAATTCAAGATGGATTAAAGACTTAAACGTAAGACTTAAAACCATAAAATCCCTAGAAGAAAACCTAGGCAGTGCCATTCAGGACATAGGCATAGGGAAAGACTTCATGACTAAAACACCAAAAGCAATGGCAACAAAAGCCAAAATTGACAAATGGGATCTAATTAAACTAAAGAGCTTCTGTGCAGCAAAAGAAACTATCATCAGAGTAAACCGGCAACCTGCAGAATGGGAGAAAATTTTTGCAATCTATCCATCTGACAAAGGGCTAACATCCAGAATCTACAAAGAACTTAAACAAATTTACAAGAAAAAACAACGCCATCAAAAAGTGGGCAAAGGATGTGAGCAGACACTTCTCAAAAGAAGACATTTATGTGGCCAAGAAACATGAAAAAAGGCTCATCATCACTGGTCATTAGAGAAATGCAAATGAAAACCACAATGAGATACCATGTCACGCCAGTTAGAATGGCGATCATTAAAAAGTCAGGAAACAACAGATGCTGGAGAGAATGTGGAGAAATAGGAACACTTTTACACTGTTGGTGGGAGTGTAAATTCAACTGTTGTGGAAGACAGTGTGGTGATTCCTCAAGGATCTAGAGCCAGAAATACCATTTGACCCAGCAATCCCATTACTGGGTATATACCCAAAGGATTATAAATCATTCTGCTGTAAAGACACATGCATACGTATGTTTAATGCAGCACAGTTCACAAGAGCAAATAATTGGAACCGACCCAAATGCCCATCAATGATAGACTGGATAAAGAAAATGTGGCACATATACACCATGGAAAAGTATGCAGCCATAAAAAAGGATGAATTCCTGTCCTTTGCAAGGACATGGATGAAGCTGGAAACCATCATTCTCAGCAAACTAACACAGGAACAGAAAACCAAACACCGCATGTTCTCACTCATAAGTGGGAGTTGAAAAATGACACAGGGAGGGGAACATCACACACCGGGGCCTATCGGGGAGTCGGGGGGCTAGGAGAAAGATAGCATTAGGAGAAATACCTAATATAGATGACAGGTTGATGGGTGCAGGAAACCACCATGGCACATGTATACCTATGTAACAATGCTGCATGTTCTGCCCATGTACCCCAGAACTTACAGTATAATAAAAAATAAATAACAAGTAAAGTTCAATGGCATTTTTTCAAAAATAAAAAAATAAAAATAAAATTCATACGGAAACTCAAAGGACCCAAATATCAAAATCCCACTATTTTGGAAGGAGAAAAAATGTTTTTACAATTTTATGCTTCAACTTTATATTCTGCACCTTGAGTACTATATAAACATTTCCTTGGGATATAAATAGTTGACTTGGGCAATATTATTTTGAAGATATAGATATACAACTTAGCTATTCTGCATATAAATATCTAAAAAGATACCAAAAATTGAGAAAGCAAATGAAGCTGGAGGCTTCACAGTTTGTGATTTCAAAACACACTACAAACTTACAATAATCAAAACAGTAAAGTATCTGCATAAAGACAGACACACAGACCAGTTAAACAGAATGGAGAGCACAGAAATAAATCCTCACATATATGGGTCAAATGATAATTAGCAAGGGTATGAAGAATACACAATGGGAAAAAGTTAGTCTCTTCAACAAGTGGTGTTGGCAAAACTGGATATCTACATGCAAAAAAAATGAAGTTGGAATTTTACCTTATACTATATGGAACAATTAACTCAAAATGGATTAACGACCTAAATGCAAGACATGAAACTATAAAATTCCTAGAATAAAACATCTAGGAAGCTTCCTGATATTGGATATAGCCACAGATGTTTTGATATGATCCCACCAGCACAGGCTACAAAAGCAAATATAGACAAATGAGGCAATTTCAAACTTAAAATCTCTGCAAAGCAAAAGAAACAACGGTGTGGCAGGAAATGAAAGACAATATTTGTAACTATTTTTATGATAAGGGGTTAATATTCAGAACCTATATGAACTCCTATAACTCAAGAACAAATAAATGAATAAATTCTAAAATGGGCAAAGGGCTTAAGTCGACCTTTCTCCAAAGAAGGTGTACAAATGGCTAACAAGCAAATGAAAAGATGTTCAACATCACGAATCATCAGGGAAATGCAAATACAAACCTCAAGGAGATAGTACTGCACACCTCTTAGGATGGCCACTATAGAAACAAAACAAAACAAAACAAAACAATAAAACAAACCTAGAAAATAACAAGTTTTGGAAAAGGCGTGGAGAAATTGGATCCCTTGTGCTATGTCGGTGAGGTTGCGAAGTCATGCAGCCACTATGGAAAACAATATGGAGGTTCCTCAAAAATTTAAAAATAAAATTACCGTATGATCCAGCAATCTTACTTTTGGATATATATTCAAAAGAATTGAAAACATGATCTTGAAGAGATATTTGCACACTCATGTTCATTGCAGCATTATTGACAATGCAAAGATGAGGAAGTAACTTAGATGTCCAAGATATACATGCAATGGAATATCATTCAGCCTTTAAAATAGAAGAAAATCCTGCCATGTGATTCAACATGGATGAACCTTGAGGATATTGTGCTCAGTGAAACAAGCCAGCCACAGAAACCAATGCTTCATGAGCCCATTTAGTTCAAGTGCCTAGGGTAGACAAATTCTGAGAAATGGAAAGTAGAATGGTGGTTGCCAGAAGGTGGGAGAAGGAGGAAAAGGAAAGTTGTTGTCAAAGGATATCGAGTTTCAGTTTTGCAAGATGAAAAATTCCAGAGACATGTTGTATAACAAGATGCATATCATTAATGCCAGTATACTCTACATACTCTACGCTTAAAAGATGATTATGTTGTTGCTTTTTAACCACAGAAATAAGAAAACTGAGAAAAGAATTTATACTTGTTTGCCATTACAGCAAATTTCACTGCTCGGTTGTGAAATTTCATATTTGTAATATAACTTAGTTTAATAAAATTTTGGAAAATTGAACTTTATTTTCTTTCCTTGTTTGACAAAATATCACGTTTTAAACATTTTTAAAAAGTTAAGTTGTGCTACCTGAAAGAGTCTCACTTAAAGGAAATTTTTTTTTATGTTGAATATTAAGGGATGAAAAAGATATAGCAGGAAAATAGTAAGAAAAGGAAGCTGTGGTGACAATATTACTATTATAAAAATATTATTTAAGGCAAATCACACTAAATAGGAGTAAAGAGAAACACCTCATAGTGGTGAAAAGGAAATACCAACGAAGAGCAGAGGTCATCATGAAACTGTGCAGTAATCAAAAGAGTTTTGAATACATGAAACAGAATTTTATGAAAAAATGACATTTCCACCAACCTAATAATATTTATTAATCTTCTCTCAAAATCTATGGTATGATTTTTTTAACGTGGCTTTAGAGGAAGAATGAGTTTCTTGTAGCTGCACCTGCCCAGGTTTGGGGGAGTAGAGGGCAGTAATTAGGGTGTGGCTGTTTTCTCTGGAAGGAGACAGTGGTATCTTTGTGCCCCCAGGGTTCTGAGATTGAGCCTAAATTGTAGGTTTCCTGTTAATTTTGGAAGATACTTGATGTTTTTCAATATATCTTTTATTACCTAAGATAAACAAATAAAATAAGTACATGGACAGAGAAGTGAATAGACATAAAATATTAGATCAAAAATAACAAGATACAGAATGTTTAAATTGATGAATGAACAAACTTTATAATGTATCTATAAAATATATTTATACATTTGTTATTTATGTAAAAATAATGTAGATACATTATTTTTAAAAGCAATGGGATATCTAGCAAGAATAAATAAGACACAAAATTTCAATATAAGAGATGCATACAAGATATAATTGCAGATTCTATAAGTATTAAAAGATCTTAAGATGATACTATATACAATTTTCTTAAATTGAAAAGCTTTAAAGAAGTTGACAAATTAATAAATCTGTATGGATTTACTGGTAAATTTTTACCATGCTGACTCTATAATAACTGGTGGAATAAGTGAATTCTGGTCACATTAAAGTCATCTCTGCACTGTTTCTTCTCAATATTGTGAATTATTAGTAGTCTTCTTGAGCTTTACCTGATTTGTAAGAATTTCTCTAAAGATGATAGTGAGCCTCAGGTAATAACAAAAACAAAAACAAGTCTGTTCAAATTAGAGTGATAAAGGAAAGGCCTAGTGCTACCTATTGCTTAAGTAGTTGATATTATTATGAAGTCATTTTATGCCGATTCTTTTCAATTACTCTCTCCCCCATGATTTCTTTTTTATATAAATTCAAATGGAAAGGGAAATTATATATTGCAAAGTACAATGAAAAGGGGGCCAACTCTAATCTTCTACCTACTATCTTTTATTTGCAAGTGACCTGGGAAAATTGTTTAACTCTTCAAAGTCCCTTGTAAGTTTTAGTTTGTATGTTTTCTAACAGAAAATAAACAGATGAATTAGGTAACATTTAGGGTCACTTTTAGTTTTAATACTTTAACATTTGAGGGAAAGTAATTATTATATTAATTATTTAAGTATACAGTTTTTTTCATTGTTCAAACCACATTTATAAGTTGTGGAAATACATTTCAATTGTATGTACATAGTAGTGTAAGCACAAAGTAATATATTACACACTTTAATAAAAGAAGAAATAAACATCTAGTATATGGCTTATAGTTCTCACCTTTTTTCCCAGTGCTACCTCTCTCTCCAAGAGTAATCACAAGATTATGCTTGCTTTTTCACGTTCTTTGAGGAAGAATGGCCTCACCAGTTCCATATACCGAACTGGATACTGAAAAAATAAAAACTTTCAAATTTTATGTCTGACCCAGAATCACAGTCTTAAAATAAACAGTGTTATATTTTATAGTAATTAATATTTAGTAAGCATAGAGTGTTGTTTAATTGTTGTAACAAATACAATGTTATAAGTTATAAGGAAATGGATACTTTCATTATTGATTTAAATCTATTGTTTAAAGATACAGTTTTTAATTTCTAAAAGTATTATAAGCTGAAAGGTTACAAAACTGCCTTAAAATATAAATATACTCAAGCATACTTTATATATATATATGTGAATACTATTGATTTAAAAGCAAGCATTGAGAAATGACATAATTGAATCCATGTGAAATTGGTTTATCACTAAACTCTTATGTGTGCTTAAAACATTTATTGATGTGATCCAGTCTGTCATATTGAGAATTGAGTTCCTCAGTGGGACTGATGTAGTTACTGATGTTAGAACTCATACTCTGGTGAATGGTGAGATAGCAGAAGTAGTAAAATGAGGTCATGTGACATTTTAGGGCAGTTTTCTTTATAACGGGGTCAGTACTCCCTCCTTCCTTTACCCTGAAATATTATACTACTATGGTTAAGAGCCACAGTATACGTTGTGTCTTTCATCATGGCAAATGGAGCCCATTTCTTCTGGGCTCAGTATTTTTGTGGTTGCTGGAGGAATATAATCAGAAGAACAAATACACAAGCACTCACATAAACATACACATGAGCACAATTTTAGTCCTCACATAACTTCTATCCAAGATGTGACAGAATTTCTTATATCTCAAAATAACTAAAAGTCTGAATAGTTTCAACACATTCTGGGTCCCTTGAAAGCAGGAAACGTTCACTTGTATGGAGCTAAGACTTGACAAAAGGACAACTTGAAAGTTTTGCATGCAAAACATTTTGCTCAGTGATTTATTTAATGCTAAGCATTTATCTTCCTTGCCCATTGATGCCAAAAATCATGATAATGCTTAATTGAGATGCTGAATTGTTTTTGTAATTAAGAGACTTAAAACCTTAGCTTTTGTTGTCTTCTTTTATAATGTAAAGACCTTCCATTTTCTCCATTTCGGAAGCGAATGACTGTTCAGGTGAAATACTTTCCCATAGCAATTGATAGTATTGCTTGGAATCAATATATGTGATTACAATATTTCAGTACGTTACATACAAAATAAAGATTTAACGTACACATGTATAAACAATGTGAGGATATATTGTTTCTTTGTGGTAAAATGTCACATATCCTTTCCTTCGTAGGTTGCTGGCTCATGTATTTCACACACTACGGTGTTGTGGTAGCTAAAATGTGCACTCACAGATGCGCCCAATAGGAGAAGCTGTGATCCACAGGTAGTTTACAAAGTTGGTTATAGAAGCAATAGAAAGTAAACTACTAAGTAACTTGGGAAGCAGCAGGCTTTGATTTTCAGCTGAACGACTACCTTCCTTTGTAGGATTATTTTTCTTTTCCCTTCCGCCTGCGATTCAATTATACTTTTCATCTGTGTTGCGCACATATTGTATCCTTTTAGATTATTGCTTTTTATGGGACAAAATGCAGTGCACGGTGTTGTTTTAACCCACACTGGATTAACTTGCTTGCTTGTTTGTAAACTGCTGCTGTGTGGCATTTACATTCTCCTCATTACATGCTCTTCATTAAGCTCAGGTGCACAAGTTTGGAGATCACTGCTACCCTACATGCTTGCGTATTGAAAAAGGGAGAGGAGCTGTAATTTAAAAGTGACAATAAAGTGAAAAATTCTTAGTTTATGAATTTTTCCCCAGTTCTTTTCTGATGGGATTTTCATGGAAAGTCATGCTTGTTTCCCAAGTTCTCTGGCAAATACAACCAAAGCAATTTAACACTTTGCTTTTGGAACATGAAAAAATGAAATGATTTCCTTCCTTTTTCCTTTCCAATATCTCCAACCTTAACATCTCCCTTTTTGGAAAACAATGGGCACAAGTTATTAAAATAACGTTTTAGATTTACATGTTATTACATGTTATTAAATAGTGTCTTAGGAAAACTTGATGGTTTTAATTTCTTGCTATTATAAGTTATGATTTCAATAAATAAATATTCATATATTACAAAAAACATGTAGACTTTTACCAGAGGATATATTTATAATAGAATCCATGTATTGATGAGTATATCTAATATATATTTGGGTTGATATTGCCAAATTGTGCTATTTAGTCCAAGTTAGACGATATCGTAATAATGAATACTTTGGTATGGGGCAAGTGTCATTAGGAATGCTTCCATTATTTTGCCACTAAACATACGGTACATATAAATATGTTTGAGTGTCTGGTGTGTGTGTATGTGTGTGTGTGCGTGTGAGAGAGAGAGAGACAGAGACAAGGAGAAAGATGATGAAACTATTGATCTATTTTAATTTTGTTTGTTTTTTGCTTGTTCATATTAATATGTAAGAATTTTTCAAATACCTTTACAATATCTATTGTGATGTTGCACATTCTCTTTTGACCTAATACTAAGAGTATCATATTAATCAATTTTCTAAACATAGAGCATTGTTGAATTCCAGGAATCTAGCTCATTTGATCATGAATTTAGCTCATTATTGATCGTGATGAATTAATTTTTAAATAATGCTGAATTTCATCATGTTCATTCATTTATTCATTATTTTCCCAGGCAATCCTAAATGAGATTGGTTGAAATATTTTATTGATCTATAATTTTCTGTGGTGAATAGTAACTGGCTTCTTTCCTTAAAAAATATAAAAACTGTTCCTTTTTTTCCTATGGTATGACATGGTCAAATTAGTATTGAAATAATTTACCGTTGAGTATGAAATTATTTGTATATGAAACCATTTGGATCTTATTCTTTGAAAAGAGACATTAACTGCATGCTTTTTCAATGCCTTAATATTTTTTGTTTGTTTGTTTTGGATTCCTATTACGTATGGGAGCAATTTTGGTAAAACATTTTTCCATCAGTTAATCTGTTTCATTGAGGTTTTAACACATGCACCTATTTAAAAAATTACTTTGTAGCTATAACTATATTCCTTTTTACTCTTTTGATTTTGTTTCCTGTTTGTATTTCTATATTTTTAAGGGGATTATTTCCAACTAGTGGCTGTTTCATTTTATTGCATTTTTTTTGTGTGCTTGTTTTGTATTTTTTGCTTTTTTGGTTTTTCTCATTGGTTATTTTTTTTACTGTAATGTTATTGCTCTTAAAAAATAAATATTTGTGCTACATGGTAACACCGTCTATTTAAAAATGCTCTTTTGTTATTTATTTATTTATTTTTTATTTATTTATTTTTTTTTGAGATGGAGTCTCGCTCTGTCTCCCAGGCTGGAGTGCAGTGGCGCGATCTGGGCTCACTGCAAGCTCCGCCTCCCGGGTTCACGCCATTCTCCTGCCTCAGCTTCCCTAGTAGCTGGGACTACAGGCGCCCGCCACTGCGCCTGGCTAATTTTTTTTGTATTTTTAGTAGAGACGGGGTTTCACCGTGGTCTCGATCTCCTGACCTCGTGATCCGCCCGCCTCGGCCTCCCAAAGTGCTGGGATTACAGGTGTGAGCCACGGCGCCCGGCCTGCTCTTTGTTATTTGTTTGTGCAGTTATTAAGACTAAATTTTCCTGTGAATATAGTTTTAACTATATTCAATATACTTTGATGTATAGACGTTTTCATTATCAGGTAATAATAATTTATGTATCATCTTTAGTGTAAGTGTTGCTTACTAAGATTTCATAACTTCCAGATATGTTTCTGCTTTTTGTTTTTTCTATTTTGATTATAATTTCACAATTTTATTTTCCATGATTAGAAAGTACATTCTGTTTACCTTTTGGAATTTATTGTTCTTCTCTTGATGATTGTATATATTTACAATTTTAATTAAATGTTTAATACAACTTAACATATATTTCTATCAAGATACATTTTATTGACTATTAGTGTAATCATATCAATTATGTTGTTTTGATCCCTTACACATTTTCTTACTTTTGTATCTTTGCTTTCTCAGAAGAAGTAGAATAGTAATTACTACAATTTCTGAAATGTATGGATGTGAGTTAGATTGTGCTAGATTGCTGCTATGTGGCACATAAACATTTTTGCATAAAACCTCATTAAACATTGTACTCTTCGTTATTATACCATGCTTCACTGGATCTCATTGATCTCACTCTGCCTGTGGAAAACCCACTCAGCTTTCTTTTTGTGAATATTTGCTTAGGGATTCCTTGTCTATTTTTTTTTTTATTTTGAAGTTGAATCTTTTGTGTTTAACATACAATTTTTTTTCAATACAGTATTTAAGCCAACTTTAATAAGTGGGTTTATTATATCTTTATTGATATAAAATAGATATTTAGACTTTATTCAGATATCCTTACTACTTTTATTTAATGATCTTGCATATTCCATAAGGCCAACTACTACACATCTTTTGGGGGTTGAATTATTTTTTCTCGAATGTATGAGCCTACTATAGACGTAATACAAGTTCTACTACATGCAAGCATAAAATCAATTTTTCCAATGCTAACATGAATGTTTCAAATTCTGCAGCTCTCATACTCCACATGTAAATCTTGCTTCCTACATTAAGTACTATGGGGCCCTGCCATGCAATAATGTTAAGTATTGCCTTATCCATTACATTGATATTAAATTTAATATTGGGGAAGTAAAGATGTCAGTTGAAGCATTTGACCAATATTTCTATATCAAAATATGTTGTTAGCCCTTTATTAAAGGTAGATATCACATTCTGAAATCAATTTTCAAGATTATTAATATTATATTCTATTAATCATGCTGTATTCTCCAAATAAAACATCGTGAATAATGGCCAAAACTTAGTTACTGAAAATAGTAACAGAAAAATAAAATCTTTGTATTCCACAAGTAATTTATGGTGCTTTTGCCAATTGATAGAAATTTCCTGTTATTAAGTGCTAATTAATTTGTTGGCTAGTTTATAGACTAGCTGGATGTTCTCTTTTCTCATGCATATTTTATTACTTCAGTTGAGTAATTAAAGTTTGCTAAATAGCTTGTGTTTTGCTGTTTCTGTAGCTTATCTATGAATTTCAATGAACGTGGAGTGAGTCTCTTTCAGGGAATCTACTTCTGAAAGCCACAAGCTGCACTAGGGAATGGCTTATAACTCTCCAAGCCCTGTCTACTTCCGCCGCTGCTCTGCTGCCTGTGACGCCTGGAGCCCAGCGAAGACTGGCCTCCTGTTGATGCAGCAGAATGAGGCTGCCTTTCCTGTTTCCTGAGTGCTTGTGATCCGACGGAGCCACCTGGAATCCGTGGCTTCATAGGGATCGAGCTTTCACAACACTGTGGGTATGGAAACAGAATTTGGGAGATAGTTCTTGGTGTCAAGGGGCCGAAGGACATATCATCCTGTGCTGTGCAGGTGTCAGCAAACAGCATCCGCTCGGGATGATTCTCTGACAATTTGCTTTTGATTATTCTCAGGTTCTCTTATTTGAATTTGATCGTTGCATTTCAGAGAATTCATATGGATTATATAGGTAAATATCATTGCTGGGAGAGAGTACATGGAAGAAAATGCCTCAATTTACCGAAAAGACACATTTGAGACAGGATCAAAATGCTAGGCCTGACTGTGAGGAGTAAATCATTTTTGTTGATTACTGTGTTCTGTCCCTAAGAACAAACATGGGAGAAGCTCATGGGCGAGTAAGTCTTCCTCATTCTATCCATTCCCGGTTTGCTTCACGGTGTTAGTGCCCCTGGGCATAGGCTTCTAGTGTCCCTAGGTGTACCTCATGGGCAGCGTTATCCACAGCATGGTGACAGCAGCTAGAAAGGCCAGTGCATCTACCTGAGGTTTGTCTGGTAATATCACTTCCATATTACTGTTGAAGGTTTTTTTTATATGTAAAACTTGCTTTGTTTGTTTATTTGTTTTTGAGATGGAGTCTTGCTCTGTCACCTAGGCTGGAGTGCAGTGGCATGATCTCGGCTCACTGCAGCCGTCATCTCCTGGGTTCAAGAGATTCTCTTGCCTCAGCCTCCTGAGTAGCTGGGACTACAGGTGCGCAACACCACACCTGGCTAATCTTTGTAGTTTTAGTAGAGACAAAGCTTCACTATGTTGGCCAGGCTGGTCTCAAACTCTTGACCTCAAGGGATCCACCCACCTTGGCCTCCCAAATTGCTGGGATTACAGGTGTGAGCCACTGCACCTAGCCTGAAACTTGTCTTTTTATAGATAAATGAATACTTAGTGTCGTGAGAAGACCTGTTTCATGTGTAAATAGCTAAGTATGCACATGAGGCACTACTTCCACTTTATTGCAGGGGTCAGTGCTAGTTTTTGCTTTTCTTCTTAAAGCACTAGGATTTTTAATTGAATGTACCTTAGCTCTGAGTTTGATTTGCAGAAGCGTATAAACCATATATATATATATATATATATATATATATATATATATATATATATATATATATAGCAAATAGTCTCGTGATTCAGCCTGGATGTTATAATGTACTACGTAAATTATAAAAGCCATGTACAGAAGAGAGTGAGGCAGTATTGGTTTGTTCCGTTCATTACTGAGCTGAGTTAGGTCTTGCTGGTTTTCTTTTTCCGAATCTGTTTCATCATTCATAAAATGAATGAGTGGATGTCTGATCAGCTTCTAATGTCAGTATCTGTGTCTCTCATTTTGTGAAAGAGACCCATTCCATTTTTTTACATTAGACATCTAAGAAATATTAAGTTAGAAAATACTAAATAATGTTTAACATTCCAGTGACATTAAATGTATTTTAAAACTTCTTTCAAAATTCAAAAAAGGGGGTACAATAGGCAACAGGAATCTAATAACTGAGGTTTACTGAATTATGAAAAATTATTCTCTGTAAAAATTCACAAGTTGAACATATGTATTTATAGAACTGACCTATAAATATGGACACATTACTATTTAATGTATATGAATATTTGAAGTAAATGAATGTTTCACATTTGAAATGAAATTTTCTTTAAAAAATCACTGTTTTTAACTATAACCAATTGGAAAACTCATTCCTGTGAATAATTATAAACCCTGAATATGTGTTTATCTCATGATTATTTATATTTTCTCTCTCATTAGCCCTTTGTTACATTTTTAGGCAATTTTTTATTCAGTTATAACAATGCTAGTGGGCACCTTTCTATGAATTAATATTTAGCTACAAATTTCAAACATCTGGGCAGTGAGTAGCAATTTATTTTGTTGAACACTGATTTTTCATAAATATTCAATAAGAAAAGTAATTAAAGAAGAATTTCATTTGCCAGCTACAGAACTCTTCTACAGTATTTTTCTTTGGTCTCTACCTGATTTTCTTCTTGTAAAAGTACAACTTCTGACCTTCATTGGCAGCCTATTTTTCATAATCCTTTAGTAAAACCTGAAAATTTCTTTAAGAGGCCACATCTTTGAATCGAGAAAGAACGAATGAATTCCCAGATGAACTGATATCCTGTTGCCTCAGCTTAGTAAAAAATCCCAGACTTTAAAATAAACATGAGAAATAATATATTAAAATAATTATTACCTTCCACATACAAAAATGCTACTTAAGGATGGCATCTGCATCCACCAACCTTGGTGGTTATTCAGGACATATTTATAAAACCTCCCAAAGTATCTTTGGAGCCTAGAACTAGCTTATCTAAAGATTCTAAGTGGCAGCAAACTTTTGTCTCGTGTGTGTGTGTGTGTGTGTGCGCGCGCTTTGACATCCCATTGCTATTTAAAGCAAAACGTGCTTGGTGGCTAACCCTAATACTATTTGCGATCAGAAATAAGACGTGCTTATAAAATAATGAAATTTATTTATTCTGTGTTTTATAAGCTGTTCCTAAAGTCAATTCCCTTGAAAACATTATACAATAATTTTGAACCATGGCAGCTTCATTATAACAAGTATATAACCTTTTTAAATGAATAATTTAAATAGTGTTGTAAATGATAGAACACCATGGGTTGACTTATGTAAAAACACCATCTATCAGATCAAATGACCAAAGCATCTGGCTGTAGGAACAGCTTGACCCAGGCGTGCAAACGTTACCTGTACTTGTTTTCACCTCTCAGTCTATCTTCAGTTATATGGACTTTGGTATCTGATTCCATTTAAGCAGACAGCCATGCATTCACGTCTGGCTGAGAAGGGTTTATCTCTACCTGGCAACTTCAGATAAGTCTTGGAATTTACTCTTACGAAATAAAATTGGGTCCCAGGAGATGTAATTGCATTATTTGGTGGATCTTAGGCCATGTATCTATCAGTGAATCCATTGGGTGAAAAAGTTTAATGTTCCATTAAATGTAACTTTTGTCACATGCTTCATCCTTGGGCTGCCCGTTGGAGCCCCAACCTAACACCTGGACCAGAGGAGCAAGATGCTTGTTTCCTCAAAGCAAAGCCACTATTAATGTAGAAAAGGAAAATGGATGTTGAGGTGGCAGGAACAACCTATTAGCCTACAAACTGATGCTTTTGAAATCAAATGTTGGCTTATGCTGCTGAAAAAAAATTCTCATTATTGTAAGCAATCAGATACGAATGTAGATGTGAAGATCTGGAACATAACTCTGTGTGCACATCCATTTTCATTGCTATAAAAGAATACCTAAGCCTGGGTAACTCATAATAAAAAGAGGTTTATTTGGCTTATGGTTCTGCAGGCTGTACAGGAAGCATGGGGCTGGAATCTGCTTCTTGTAAGGGCCTCAGGAAGCTTCCAATCATGGTGGATGTTGAAGGGTAGCCAGTGTGTCACACGGAGTGAGAGAGAAATGTAACCTTTGTCACATGATTCATCCTTGGGCTGCCGTTGGAGCCCCACCCTAACACCTGGACCAGAGGAGCAAGAGAGAGAGGGGAGATGCACGCTCTTTTTAAACAACCAAATAACACACGAACTCAGAGTGAGAACTCATTCATTACTGTGAGAAAGGCACCAAATCACTCATGAGGGATCCACCTCTATGACCCAAACACCTTCCACTAGGCCCACCTTCAACATTAGAGGTCATATTTTAACATAAGATTTTGAGAGGACAAAACATCTAAGTCATATTGTTCTGTCCCTGGCCCCTCAAATGTCATGTTCTCCTCACATTGAAAAATACAGCTATTCCTTCCCGATAGTTCCCCAATGTCTTAACTCATTCCAGCATCATTCAGAAGTCCAAAGTCTCATGTGAGACTCAAGGTAAATTCCTTCCACCTATGAGCCTGTAAAATCAAAAATAAGTGATTTAGTGATTGATTTACTTCCAATATGCATTGGTGGTACAGGTATTGTATAAACATTTCCACTCCAAAAGGGATAAATCAGCCAAAAGAAAGGGGCAACAGGCACTACACAAATATGAAACCCAGCAGACATTAAATCTTAAAGCTCCAAAATAAGCTTTGACTGTATTTGCTGCATCCTGGGCATACTGGTTCAAGAGCTGGGCCCCCAGGGCTTCAGGCAGCCCTGCCCCTGTGGCTTTGCAGGGCATAGTCCCTGCCCCTGTGGCTTTGCAGGGTGTAGTCCCTGTCCCTGTGGCTTTGCAGGGTATAGTCCCTGACCCTGTGGCTTTGCAGGGCATAGTCCCTGTGGCTGCTATCACAGGCTGCAGTTGAGTGCCTGTGGCATTTCCAGAATCAGGGTGCAAGCTGCCAGTGGCTCCACTAATCTCAGGTCTGGAAGATGGCAGTCCCCTTCCCACAGCTCCATAGGCAGTACCATCGTTGGGACTCAGTGTGGGGGCTTCAATCCCACATTTTCCCTTGGAAATTTCCCTGGTAGAGTTCCTCTGTGGGTGTTCTGCCCCTGTGGCAGTCTTCTTCCTGGGCACCCAGGCTTTCCCAAACATCCTCTGAAATCTAGGCAGAGTCTGCCAAGCCCGCTTCATGCTTGCATTCTGTACAACTGCAGGCTTAATACCATTTGCAAGCCACCAAGGCTTATGGTTTTATTCTCTTCAGAGTGGTGACCAGACCAATATCTGGGGCCCTTTGAGCCAAGGCTGGAGCTAGAGCAGTGGGGATGTGAGGAACATCCTTGTAGGGTGGCTCATAAAAGCTGTGCCCTGGACCTAGACCCTGAAACCATTCTTTCCTCCTAGGTCTCTGGGCTTCCAATGGGAGGGCCTATCCTGAAAATCTATAAAATGCCTTTGACACCTTTTTCTAATTACCTTGTATATTAGCACTTGGCTCCCATTTAGTTACGCTAATCTCTCTAGCAAGTGCTTGCTCCACAGCCCACTTACATTCCTCTCCTGAAAATGCTTTTTCTCTCTCTACTACATGGCCAGGCTGTGAATTTTCCAAATTTTTATGCTGTGTTTCCTTTTTAAATGTACGTTTCAACTTTAAGTCATTTCTTAGCTCCCATATCTGACCGTACGTTGTCAGAAGCAGCCATGTCACATCTTGAGTGCTTTGCTGCTTAAAGATTTCTTTCACTAGATACCCCAAGTCATCATTCTTCAGTTCAACATTCCACCAGTCTCCTGGGCATGGACACAATACAGTCAAGTTCTTTGCTATACTATAACAGGGGAGATCTTTGCTCCAGTTTTCAATAAATTCCTTATTTCCTTCTGAGACCCTGTCAGCCTGGCGTTGTTTGTATATCTGTCAGCACATTGGTCACCACCACCTAACCAATCTCTAAGAAGTTACAAACTTTCTCTCATTTTCCTTTCTTCTTCTGAGCCCTCCAAACTCTTCCAGCCTCTTACCCAGCCTGTTACCAATTTCCAAAGGCACTTTTACATTTTCAGGTAGCTTTATAGCAACACTCCACTCCCAGTACCAACTTTTTTGCATTAGTCCATTTGCATTGCCATAAAGTAATTCCTAAGACAGAGTAATTTATAAGGAAAAGAGGTTTATTTGGCTCACAGTTCTGCAGGCTCTACAAAAAGTGTGGTGCCAGCATCTGCTTCTAGTGGGGCCTCACGAAATTTCCACTCATGGCAGAAGGCGAAGTGGAGTCAGCATGTCACACAGAGAGAGGGGAGTAAGAGAGAGAATACGGAGGTGCCACTCTATTTTTAAAGAACCAGAGATCACATAAACTGAAAGTGAGAACTCAGTCATTACTGTGGTGAGGGCACCAAGCCGTTCCTGAGGGATGCACTCCCATGACCTGAATGCTTCCCACTAGGCCCCATCTCCAACATTGGAGGTCAAATTTCCATGGGAGATTTGGAGACAGCAAATCCAAACGATATCACCTAGTGTTAAAACTAGCTTCATTAGAAGTATTAAAAAATGGATTCAAATTCACAATACTGTATTATTATTCTCCATTCATCATCTCCTGTAGGACAACTGTGGGTAATGAACCAGGCTCCCTTGTTATCACTGTCATTCTTTCAGGAAACTACCCTTACCTACTTAGGCACAGCTCAATGCTTAGAGATTTCCCCAATTTGATATGCAAGTTGAGTAGTCTTATTTTTTTAGTATCAATTTAATTAAAATCTGTAAGGTGTTCCACATATTTTTATGTATTTATCTTAAAGGCTTCACTTGTGGCTTTAATTTCTACTATAACCTACTTGATTTTGCCCTTTTATATGATAAAATAATCATATAAATGTCATGCAGGATAAGATGCAGGTTAGTATGTCATTTATCACTATATAAATGAGAATTTAGTGTCCACTTCTTTTTTCCATACTGCATATTTAGATCAATTCCTAAAGCATCTTTCATCTTTAGAAGTCAGTAGACTACTCACTGTTCTCTCTTCCTATTATAAAATAATATATTACCATTTATTTTCTAACTTTCTGTGTTGCTAAAATATTCAACCCATTATCTCATGAAGCTATGCTGAGAAGATATAGAAAAAGGAGAAGTAGAGGGAAAAGAGGAAGACTTGGCCTTGAAACCTACACTACTCTACTCTACTCTACTCCTCTACTCTACACTACTCTACTATACTCTTGGCCTTGAAATCTTCTCTTGAAGCTAGAGTTAGAGAATTGGCCAACCTTTATTTTGTACTTGTTCTGTCACTGGAATTGAACATGATGTCTCAATATGTATTTTTTTCCAAATTTGCAATATAAATTGTAAAAAGGCACTTAAATCTAAAAACATCATTTCCTTGGTATAAAATAAATTACTTCATTCTTTCTCTAATAGTTTTTGAAAAAATGTAGACTGATGTATAAAAAGTATTAAGCACATTTTAAAAATTTTACTTCTTTTTTTTCTTTTTTATTTTATTTTATTATTATTATACTTTAAGTTTTAGGGTACATGTGCACAATGTGCAGGTTAGTTACATATGTATACATGTGCCATGCTGGTGTGCTGCACCCATTAACTCGTCATTTAGCATTAGGTATATCTCCTAATGCTATCCCTCCCCACTCCCCCCACCCCACAACAGTCCCCAGAGTGTGATGTTCCCCTTCCTGTGTCCGTGTGTTCTCATTGTTCAATTCCCACCTATGAGTCAGAACATGCAGTGTTTGGTTTTTTGTCCTTGCGATAGTTTACAGAGAATAATGATTTCCAATTTCATCCATGTCCCTACAAAGGACATGAACTCATCATTTTTTATGGCTGCATAGTATTCCATCGTGTATATGTGCCACATTTTCTTAATCCAGTCTATCATTGTTGGACATTTGGGTTGGTTCCAAGTCTTTGCTATTGTGGATAGTGCCGCAATAAACATACGTGTGCATGTGTCTTTATAGCAGCATGATTTATAGTCCTTTGGGTATATACCCAGTAATGGGATGGCTGGGTCACATGGTATTTCCAGTTCTAGATCCCTGAGGAATTGCCACAATGACTTCCACAATGGTTGAACTAGTTTACAGTCCCACCAACAGTGTAAAAGTGTTCCTATTTCTCCACATCCTCTCCAGCACCTGTTGTTTCCTGACTTTTTAATGATTGCCATTCTAACTGGTGTGAGATGGTATCTCATTGTGGTTTGGAATTGCATTTCTCTGATGGCCAGTGATGGTGAGCATTTTTTTATGTGCTTTTTGGATGCATAAATGTCTTCTTTTGAGAAGTGTCTGTTCATGTCCTTCACCCACTTTCTGATGGGTTGTTTGTTTTTTTCTTGTAAATTTGTTTGAGTTCATTGTAGATTCTGGATATTAGCCCTTTGTCAGATGAGTAGGTTGCAAAAATTTTCTCCCATTTTGTAGGTTGCCTGTTCACTCTGATGGTAGTTTCTTTTGCTGTGCAGAAGCTCTTTAGTTTAATTAGATCCCATTTGTCAATTTTGTCTTTTGTTGCCATTGCTTTTGGTGTTTTAGACATGAAGTCCTTGCCCATGCCTATGTCCTGAATGGTAATGCCTAGGTTTCCTTCTAGGGTTTTTATGGTTTGAGGTCTAATGTTTAAGTCTTTATTCCATCTTGAATTAATTTTTGTGTAAGGTGTAAGGAAGGGATCCAGTTTCAGCTTTCTCCATATGGCTAGCCAGTTTTCCCAGCACCATTTATTAAACAGGGAATCCTTTCCCCATTGCTTGTTTTTCTCAGGTTTGTCAAAGATCAGATAATTGTAGCCATGTGGCGTTATTTCTGAGGGCTCTGTTCTGTTCCATTGATCTATATCTCTGTTTTGGTACCAGTACCATGCTGTTTTGGTTACTGTAGCCTTGTAGTATAGTTTGAAGTCAGGTAGCGTGATGCCTCCAGCTTTGTTCTTTTGGCTTAGGATTGACTTGGCGATGCGGGCTCTTTTTTGGTTCCATATGAACTTTAAAGTATTTTTTTCCAATCCTGTGAAGAAAGTAATTGGTAGCTTGATGGGGATGGCATTGAATCTATAAATTACCTTGGGCAGTATGCCCATTTTCACGATATTGATTCTTCCTACCCATGAGCATGGAATGTTCTTCCATTTGTGTGTATCCTCTTTTATTTCATTGAGCAGTGGTTTGTAGTTCTCCTTGAAGAGGTCCTTCACGTCCCTTGTAAGGTGGATTCCTATGTATTTTATTCTCTTTGAAGCAATTGTGAATGGGAGTTCACTCATGATTTGACTCTGTTTGTCTGTTATTGGTGTATAAGAATGCTTGTGATTTTTGTGCATTGATTTTGTATCCTGAGACTTTGCTGAAGTTGCTTATCAGCTTAAGGAGATTTTGGGCTGAGACAATGGGGTTTTCTAGATATACAATCATGTCATCTGCAAACAGGGACAATTTGATTTCCTCTTTTCCTAATTGAATACCCTTTATTTCCTTCTCCTGCCTAATTGCCCTGGCCAGAACTTCCAACACTATGTTGAATAGGAGTGGTGAGAGAGGGCATCCCTGTCTTGTGCCAGTTTTCAAAGGGAATGCTTCCAGTTTTTGCCCATTCAGTATGATATTGGCCGTGGGTTTGTCATAGATAGCTCTTATTATTTTGAGATATGTCCCATCAATACCTAATTTATTGAGAGTTTTTAGCATGAAGGTTGTTGAATTTTGTCAAAGGCCTTTTCTGCATCTATTGAGATAATCATGTGGTTTTTGTCTTTGGTTCTGTTTATATGCTGGATTACATTTATTGATTTGCGTATATTGAACCAGCCTTGCATCCCAGGGATGAAGCCCACTTGATCATGGTGGATAAGCTTTTTGATGTGCTGCTGGATTCGTTTTGCCAGTATTTTATTGAGGATTTTTGCTTCAATGTTCATCAAGGATATTGGTCTAAAATTCTCTTTTTTGGTTGTGTCTCTGTCAGGTTTTGGTATCAGGATGATGCTGGCCTCATAAAATGAATTAGGGAGGATTCCCTCTTTTTCTATTGATTGGAATAATTTCAGAAGGAATGGTACCAGTTCCTCCTTGTACCTGTGGTAGAATTCGGCTGTGAATCCATCTGGTTCTGGACTCTTTTTGGTTGGTAAGCTATTGATTATTGCCACAATTTCAGAGCCTGTTATTGGTCTATTCAGAGTTTCAACTTCTTCCTGGTTTAGTGTTGGGAGGGTGTATGTGTTGAGGAATCTCTCCATTTCTTCTAGATTTTCTAGTTTATTTGCATAGAGATGTTTGTAGTATTCTCTGATGGTAGTTTGTATTTCTGTGGGATCGGTGGTGATATCCCCTTTATCATTTTTTATTGCATCTATTTGATGCTTCTCTCTTTTCTTCTTTATTAGTCTTGCTAGCGGTCTATCAATTTTGTTGATCCTTTCAAAAAACCAGCTCCTGGATTCATAAAGCCATTACATAATGGTAAAGTGATCAATTCAACAAGAAGAGCTAACTATCCTAAATATATATGCACCCAATACAGGAGCAACCAGATTCATAAAGCAAGTCCTGAGTGACCTACAAAGAGACTTAGACTCCCACACATTAATAATGGGAGACTTTAACACCCCACTGTCAACATTAGACAGATCAATGAGACAGAAAGTTAGCAAGGATACCCAGGAATTTAACTCAGCTCTGCACCAAGCGGACCTAATAGACATCTACAGAACTCTCCACCCCAAATCAACAGAATATACATTTTTTTCAGCACCACACCACACCTATTCCAAAACTGACCACATAGTTGGAAGTAAAGCTCTCCTCAGCAAATGTAAAAGAACAGAAATTATAACAAACTGTCTCTCAGACCACAGTGCAATCAAACTAGAACTCAGGATTAAGAAACTCACTCAAAACCGCTCAGCTACATGGAAACTGAACAACCTGCTCCTAAATGACTACTGGGTACATAACGAAATGAAGGCAGAAATAAGGATGTTCTTTGAAACCAATGAGAACAAAGACACAACATACCAGAATCTCTGGGACACATTCAAAGCAGTGTGTAGAGCGAAATTTATAGCACTAAATGCCCACAAGAGAAAGCAGGAAAGATCCAAAATTGACACCCTAACATCACAATTAAAAGAACTAGAAAAGCAAGAGCAAACACATTCAAAAGCTAGCAGAAGGCAATAAATAACTAAGATCAGAGCAGAACTGAAGGAAATAGAGACACAAAAATTTTGTTTTCATTTCATTTGAGTTTTCTTTTTATTCTTTTTCATGTTATTTACATACTTTATTTTAAATAATATTTAAATATTGCTAGGATGAGTAGAAATTGAGAAGCAGAAAGTTATTACTGTTGTATGCAATTTGTTTCCAGTATTTCAACAGTGAAATCTGTAAAACACATTCATTAACTCACTGCTAATGTACAAAATGGAAAGTTTTCTATTTATACAATGAAAGTCTTTTAGGATATTTTCCTCAAGTAAGGAGAGAGGAGATCTTTTTATAGTAATTTGTCACTATCATTTCCTTTCTCTAAATACTTTAAAAAATAACCAGTCACCAGTTGAGAGTAAATGCTCACCAAGGATCCATATGCTCTCTTGCCTTTCCCAGGATCTTGTGTGGAGCCCTAGGAGTAGCTCCAGCCAGTAGACTAGGAGAAGTCCCAGGAGGTCAAGAGCAGTGTGACCTCTCCATAACTGTTTTATTTGCCACAAAAATCTTGAAGACCATATGTGCCATATGGCACAGTCACAAGAAGGAGGAAGGCTGGTCTACCTGAACTGCACATTGTATGACTGATAACTAAAATTGTACATTGTTAAACTATAACATTTTCAGATTTGAGCACCCTGATGGGTAAAATTAATCCAGATACATGCACCAAATTTTATTTAAAACACTTGTCTTACTCTCAATTGTAAAAACATTATGTAATCCTTGTAAATAAAACTTAGAAAAAAACATGTAAAAAACAACTACTTTATGTCATCAGAATATTAGTATGACTATTCTTTGGTTTTCTACTATGCTATTATTATATTACATTATATTATATTATATCATATTATATTATTATTTATCATATATTTATTGGTTTATAATCAGTAAAAAATCTCCTATATAGTAAAAGTGTGCACATTTATCAGCAGCTATATTAAAAAGATGACAGAGCATTATACCTGTGTCACCATGTCACCACTCCAAAGAGCAGTATAGTTTCAATCAGCCACTGTTTTGAGATTTAAATCCCACAAAAGGATAAACAGGTTGATGAGGACAGGCCTGCCTACCTCAGGGGGCTGCACCAGCTGCCTCCAGACTCCTATTTTTGGTATGCTTAGATGACATCAATTCCACACCTAAGCTTACTAACTTTGTTTTTTGACTGGAGCAAATTTAATATTAGGCTCAAGAAAAAAGCCCTTTGGAGTTAAGGTGCATGCTTCCATCTCATGGGGATTAATGGAGCAGCTCCTGATACATATCTTGGTTATAACTTCTAGGCAGAGAGGTCTGGGCACAAACGCAATGAGACTCAGGAATGCTATTCCACAATATTTTCAGACCAATTTAGAATTAACTCTTGCTCAAAAGTCAGACTGCTCACCTGAGCTGCTTGCAAAATCAAGCATACTAAAATTCTGTACAAAGAAAAGCTACTTTAAGAATCCAACGGACCTTAGAACGCAATCTGGAACTGGGTTTAGAAGCATGTAACCTGTCACATCCTAGTATTGTTGTTTATTTAATAATGAAGTCCAGATGTTATTTTAGAACCAAAAGACCCTTGGCTGGATGCCGCAGAATAATTCAGTATGTGCAGGAATACATGTGGGTGCTGTGAATGTAGAAAAAAATGGTGATTCTGGAAATGGCACACCTATAAACAATCATGTATGCTGTCATTGAAAGGCTAGTATGTGTGCTTGAAATCTGGAATATAAAAAAAGTGATACCCAGTGGCTGTTCTCAAGGAGCTCAGAGTCAGGCAGAATATGGGTGTAACTATATAAGCAAAGCATAATAAGGTAAATACTATAACCAAGGGAACACAAAGAGCCGAGAAAATTACAGGCATCAACATTTAGTACTTGCTGGGTTTTCAGGGAGAGATACTGGAGAAAGAAGTATTATTGAATGTGAGTTTCAGAAATAAGTTGACAGGGAAGGGAAGGGCATTATCACAAGAGGATAGCTAACACAAACAGATGGAAGTAAAATGGATTTGTGGAAAAAAAACAAGTAATAATGTATAGGATGGCTGCCCAAGAGTCACTTTTGCAACTTGAAGGCAGGCTTCAAAGACTATTACATTGTGCTAAGGATTATTTTATTTATTTTTGAAAGAAATTAACAGCCATCCGCATATTTTTTTAATTATGGATAATTACAAGCACATAAAAACAGAAAAATATGCTATATACTTATAGCTTAAAACATTATCAACTCATGGTTAATCTTGTTTTATCAAAACAGAACAACACACACACACACACATACATTTTATTCATATCCAAGATTATTTAGAAGCAAAGAAAAAAATTTATTCATAAATATTTTAGTGTATACCCCTACAAGATAAAAGCTCTGGGAAAACATAAGAATTCCATTATCTCACCTAAAACAATAAAAATATATTTTAATATTAATAACCACCTAATCGGTGTTTAATTGTCTTATTTATTTTATTTTATTTTTTTGAGACAGAATCTCTCTCTGTCACCTAGGCCGGAGTGCAGTGGTGTCATCTCAGCTCACTGCAACCTCTGTCTCCTGGGTTCAAGCAATTCTTGTCCTTGTCTTGTAAACTCTTGTGGAAAGATTGCTAATTGCATTCCTGTGGTATCTTTTAATATGTTCCTGTAACCCCTGAATTTTCTGTAAACTGGTAGCAGTTTACTCTGAAAACAAAGTTTACCAAACACACTTCTTAGATGGTGTTGTCTGGTTCCTTTTAACAGGAAGCACAAATTTCAGTTATCTTTCTTTTGCAATGAGAGCAATTACTGATGTTTATAACCTTGTTCCACAGTTTCACTAGGTGTCATAAAATAGTAATAATCTGATTATTATTCATTGATATATTCTTCATTTATCATTTTGGTCACTTCTGTCAAAAAACTTCTCACTACCTTTGCTCTTACTGTGATCAAGTTCATAAAGTCAAGGCAAGCTAAATGCTTGATTTATTTTTTATCTTTATTTATTTATTTTTACCAGTTTTCTTTCTTTCTGTTCTTTTTTTTTTTTTAGACAGAGTCTCGCTCTGTCGCCCAGGCTGGAGTGCGGTGGTGCAATCTTGGCTCACTGCAACCTCCACCTCCCAAGTTCAAGCAATTCTCTGTCTCAGCCTCCCAAGCAGCTGGGATTACAGGTGGGATTACCACCACACCTGGCTATTTTTTTTTTTTTGTATTTTTAGTAGAGATGGGGTTTCACCACCTTGGATGGGCTTATCTTGAATTCCTGACCTTGTGATCCACCTGCCTTGGCCTCCCAAAGTGCTGGGATTACAGGCGTGAGCCATGGCGCATGGCCCTTTTTACCAGTTTTCAAACAGATGATTAGATTCCATATTTCCTGACAAGGTGACCAAAAAGGTCAGTTATTTGTATCTTTTATATTTTTAAAAACTAAGGGAGTCAGACATGTTGTGTATTCAATCCATTGTGGTTATGATACTTACAGATGCTCAATTTTTTACTGTTTATGGCCAGTGAAAGCTTCTGTGGGTTTTTTCATAAGCATTTTTATGGGAATATAACATACATATAGAATAGACAATATTAGTGTATAGTTCACTGAATTTTCACAAACTAGAATGGTCAGATCATGGAACAGGACATTACTAGCACGCTAGAAGCTAACCTATGATAATTGCTAAATATGGAAACTATAGGGAGGGTAGCTGGGAATAAGACTTCTGGCCATTTCATTGAACAATTTTTTTTTTTTTGAAATGGAGTCTTACTCTGCCACTCAGGCTGGAGTGCAGTGGTGTGAACTCGGCTTACTGCAACCTCTGCCTCCCAGGTTCAAGTGATTCTCCTGCCTCAGCCTTCCAAGTAGTGGGGATTTCAGGCACCTGCCACCATGCCCAGCTAAATTTTGTATTTTTAGTAGAGAGAGCAATTCACCATGTTGGCCAGGCTGGTCTCGAACTCCTGACCTCAAGTGGTCTGCCTGCCTTGGCCTCCCAAAGTGCTAGGATTACAGGTGTGAGCCACTACGCCCAGCCAACAATTTCTATTTATTACAGAGGTGGGTATCTTAGTCCATTTTATGTTTCTGTAACAGAATACCACAGACTAGGTAATTTAAAATGGACAGGAAATGTATTTGGCTCATATTTCTGGAGGATAGGAAGTCCAAGAGCCCAGAACCTCAACTGGTAAGGGTCTTTGTGCTGCGTCATCCCATGGCAGAAGTGGCAGAAGGTGGAAGGGCAAGACAGTGTGCAAGAAAGAGACCAGAGGGGCCCAAACTCACTTTTATAACAAGCCCACTCTCACAATAACACTCATCGCCCTCATGACCTAGTCTTCTCTTATTAGAACCCGCTTCCTCTCACTGTTGCACTGGGGGTGAAGTTTCCAACATACAATCTTTAGGGGGCCATTCAAACCATAGCAGGAGGTAAACAAATAGTCGCTTGGGAACAACTTGGTTAAAACTCACATGGTAGCATTGAAAGTCCAGGGTCTTCCTTCCAACAGAACAATCTGATATTGGAAAGTGTCTACAGATTCCTAAAGGAATTCTAGGACTTTGAACAACATCTGCAGATGATGAGCAATTATTTAAGGAGGAAGTTCTTTCCTAAATTGTAGGTTACAAGAAGAGCTCTCCCTTCTATAACCCAACCTTGACAAAACTTTAGCCCTGATATTTGAGTTGTAGCTTTGTATTACAATCCAATTGTGGTTTGCCAGCCTTATGTGTTTCAGGGAATGAGTTGAGCCTACATGAACATAGTCTGCTTAAGGAGTTTGCAAACAGGAACATAAGTTGTGATGAAAAGTGGAAAATTAATATTTATTAAATATTATTATGTCAGGGACAACCTTTGGTTCTTTATCTAAGCATCACAACCAAGCTTTACCAGAGTTCCTTGGGCAAGTGTAAATAGAAAAGCTGATGTTTTGAAAACAAACATGAGGTGACTAATTCAAGGCCAAAAAATTGGCAAGTGATCGACCCTGAAACTGAAATCCTTTCTACCATACCACATATTTCTGTTAGAATACACCAGTGTTCTTCTTCACCTCAGACTAAATGGGGAAAGCTATTTTAATAGACTCTTAAGACAGGCTGGAAGTTTACCAGCAACTGTTCTGATATCTTACTGAAAAAAATCAGTAATTGCCCACAAGAGTCAATTCTATTACACTGATAATCATATACCCTCTCAAGTTATCAATTCTTGTCTCTATCTATACTAATAACTGAAGATTTGGGAAAAGTCTAAGAGATTCTGCACAAGGCTTTGTCTATGCAAGGCCTTGTTCTCTGCTATCAATATCCTATAAGTTCCACGCCAAAGAGCTGTGGGCTCATACCTTTATAAGTTCCACACCAAGGAGCTGTGGGTTCATACCTTTATAACTGATGTCACAGAACCAATGTCAAGACAGGCCCAGAAAGGTGATGTTTTCTTGTGGCGCGAAACGTTAACCTACTGGAAAGATGATTCTCCCAGGGTTACTTGGCAAAAGACAGAGTCCCTGGAACCATGTTCTCCTGGATAATGTGGTTTTGAATTTTTATTTTACCACCTGAAATGTCATTAAGGCCACACAGGAAAATCAGTAACAATTCTTATTTATTTTCGTTGTGAGGCTCATATTACTCCCATCCTTTGTAGTATCCAAAGATAACTCCATCAGAAGATGTACATTGCTGGCTGAAATAACCAACACCAACAGAGAAGGCAGACATACCTATTATGTAAGCCAAAGGTGACTGTGGTGCCATATTATCTGTGACATTGGTTTGTCACTGCATTTTGCATCCCACAGTGATTTTGCCAATAATGTTTTTCACAGCAGTAAAGCACTGTTTTGTTGAAGATTTCATCATAGATTGATACTTCGATTATTATCAATAACATATCGCTTTTTAAATTTTATTTTATTATTATTATACTTTAAGTTTTAGGGTACATGTGCACAATGTGCAGGTTAGTTACATATGTATACATGTGCCATGCTGGTGTGCTGAACCCATTAACTCATCATTTAGCATTAGGTATATCTCCTAATGCTATCCTTCCCCACTCCCCCCACCCCACAACAGTCCCCAGAGTGTGATGTTCCCTTTGCTGTGTCCATGTGTTCTCACTGTTCAATTCACTCCTATGAGTGAGAATATGCGGTGTTTGGTTTTTTGTTCTTGCGATAGTTTACTGAGAATGATGATTTCCAATTTCATCCATGTCCCTACAAAGGACATGAACTCATCATTTTTTATGGCTGTGTAGTATTCCATGGTGTATATGTGCCACATTTTCTTAATCCAGTCTATCATTGTTGGACATTTGGGTTGGTTCCAAGTCTTTGCTATTGTGGATAGTGCCGCAATAAACATACGTGTGCATGTGTCTTTATAGCAGCATGATTTATAGTCCTTTGGGTATATACCCAGTAATGGAATGGCTGGGTGAAATGGTATTTCCAGTTCTAGATCCCTGAGGAATCGCCACACTGACTTCCACAATGGTTGAACTAGTTTACAGTCCCACCAACAGTGTAAAAGTGTTCCTATTTCTCCACATCCTCTCCAGCACCTGTTGTTTCCTGACTTTTTAATGATTGCCATTCTAACTGGTGTGAGATGGTATCTCATTGTGGTTTGGAATTGCATTTCTCTGATGGCCAGTGATGGTGAGCATTTTTTCATGTGTTTTTTGGCTGCATAAATGTCTTCTTTGGAGAAGTGTCTGTTCATGTCCTTCGCCCACTTTTTGATGGGATTGTTTGTTTTTGTCTTGTAAATTTGTTTGAGTTCATTGTAGATTCTGGATATTAGCCCTTTGTCAGATGAATAGGTTGCAAAAATTTTCTCCCATTTTGTAGGTTGCCTGTTCACTCTGATGGTAGTTTCTTTTGCTGTGCAGAAGCTCTTTAGTTTAATTAGATCCCATTTGTCAATTTTGGCTTTTGTTGCCATTGCTTTTGGTGTTTTAGACATGAAGTCCTTGCCCATGCCTGTGTCCTGAATGGTAATGCCTAGGTTTTCTTCTAGGGTTTTTATGGTTTGAGGTCTAATGTTTAAGTCTTTATTCCATCTTGAATTAATTTTTGTATAAGGTGTAAGAAGGGATCCAGTTTCAGCTTTCTCCATATGGCTAGCCAGTTTTCCCAGCACCATTTATTAAATAGGGAATCCTTTCCCCATTGCTTGTTTTTCTCAGGTTTGTCAAAGATCAGATAACTGTAGATATGAGGCGTTATTTCTGAGGGCTCTCTTCTATTCCATTGATCTAGATCTCTGTTTTGGTACCAGTACCATGCTGTTTTGGTTAGTGTAGCCTTGTAGTATAGTTTGAAGTCAGGTAGCGTGATGCCTCCAGCTTTGTTCTTTTGGCTTAGGATTGACTTGACGATGGGGCCTCTTTTTTCGTTCCATATGAACTTTAAACTATTTTTTTCCAATTCTGTGAAGAAAGTAATTGGTAGCTTGATGGGGATGGCATTGAATCTATAAATTACCTTGGGCAGTATGCCCATTTTCACGATATTGATTCTTCCTACCCATGAGCATGGAATGTTCTTCCATTTTTGTGTATCCTCTTTTATTTCATTGAGCAGTGGTATGTGGTTCTCCTTGAAGAGGTCCTTCACATCCCTTGTAAGCAGGAAAGATCCAAAATTGACACCCTAACATCACAATTAAAAGAACTAGAAAAGCAAGAGCAAACACATTCAAAAGGTAGCAGAAGGCAAGAAATAACTAAAATCAGAGCAGAACTGAAGGAAATAGAGACACAAAAAACCCTTCAAAAAATTAATGAATCCAGGAGCTGGTTTTTTGAAAGGATCAACAAAATTGATAGACCGCTAGCAAGACTAATAAAGAAGGAAAGAGAGAAGAATCAAATAGATGCAATAAAAAATGATAAAGGGGATATCACCACCAATCCCACAGAAATACAAACTACCATCAGAGAATACTACAAACACCTCTACGCAAATAAACTAGAAAATCTAGAAGAAATGGAGAGATTCCTCGACACATACACCCTCCCAACACCAAACCAGGAAGAAGTTGAATCTCTGAATAGACCAATAACAGGCTCTGAAATTGTGGCAATAATCAATAGCTTACCAACCAAAGAGTCCAGGACCAGATGGATTCACAGCCGAATTCTACCACAGGTACAAGGAGGAACTGGTACCATTCCTTCTGAAATTATTCCAATCAATAGAAAAAGAGGGAATCCTCCCTAATTCATTTTATGATGCCAGCATCATCCTGATACCAAAGCCAGGCAGAGACACAACCAAAAAAGAGAATTTTAGACCAATATCCTTGATGAACACTGAAGCAAATATCCTCAATAAAATACTGGCAAACCAAATCCAGCAGCACATCAAAAAGCTTATCCACCATGATCAAGTGGGCTTCATCCCTGGGATGCAAGGCTGGTTCAATATATGCAAATCAATAAACGTAATCCAGCATATAAACAGAACCAAAGACAAAAACCGCATGATTATCTCAATAGATGCAGAAAAGGCCTTTGACAAAATTCAACAACCCTTCATGCTAAAAACTCTCAATAAATTAGGTATTGATGGGACGTATCTCAAAATAATAAGAGCTATCTATGACAAACCCACAGCCAATATCATACTGAATGGGCAAAAACTGGAAGCATTCCCTTTGAAAACTGGCACAAGACAGGGATGCCCTCTCTCACCACTCCTATTCAACATAGTGTTGGAAGTTCTGGCCAGGGTAATTAGGCAGGAGAAGGAAATAAAGGGTATTCAATTAGGAAAAGAGGAAATCAAATTGTCCCTGTTTGCAGATGACGTGATTGTATATCTGGAAAACCCCATTGTCTCAGCCCAAAGTCTCCTTAAGCTGATAAGCAACTTCAGCAAAGTCTCAGGATACAAAATCAATGTACAAAAATCACAAGCATTCTTATACACCAATAACAGACAAACAGAGAGCCAAATCATGAGTGAATTTCCATTGACAATTGCCTCAAAGAGAACATATCTCTTTTAATAATTAAGACTAAGAGATTTGTCAGAAACAAAATTTTGAACTGAACGTTCTGTTTCATCAGGCTGATTCATACGTTCCTATTTAGCGAAATCAAAATGCCACGGGGAAGCCCTTTGAAGCAGGTGATGGAAACAGAGCTTTCCTCTCAGTGTTAACATTTGAGAAGAATTTCACCCAGAACACACAGCAGCCTAAACGCAGCACAGGCAGGCAGCCCACTGTCTGCAAAGAACAGCTGCTGCTGCGTCTCACGTTCTCCAGGGACAGCAGCTAATACCTCTGGTAGTCCTTCTCTTCTATTGTAATTTGGTAACTGAAAATCAATTCATCCACCAGGAAATGGAATTGATGGAACATTATCTTTTAGATGCAAATGATCTTCGTGTTTTCATCCTTTAAAGAGAATCTCTGTCATCATTGCACATCCTTGCAGAGTATGTTCAAAGTGAGACATAGTACCAGATAATCTAGGCAATTTGTCCTTGGATTATCATATGTTTAACAGAAAGTGCAGCAGTACAAAATAGTTCCACTTGCTTTGATTGCATGATACAGAGCTTGACAACTTTATTTTTCACGTATTCCTATAAGAAACCTAGAATTTGGGCAGTTGAAAAGAAAAATATATAAACTCACCACTCTTTATCTCTTTCCCGGTGCCATGTAAATGTTCAAACAAATTGAAAAGTGAGAATAAATTATCTTCTTCCTTCATTATGAAAACTTAATCCCAGGAAAGATTTGTAGATTGATAGAGAGGTACAAGGAAGATTTGTAGATTGATAGAGAGGTACAAGTGACTGATAATTTTATTACACCTGGATTTGCCTTCCTTTGGATATATATATATATAAAATAAAATAAAATAATTTTATTACACCTTCTGGATTTGCCTTCCGTTGGCTAGGTGACATAACTTTAATCTAACTAACTATATATATATTTATATCTCCTAAATATATGTCTCCTAAATTTATAGGAGATATAAATATATATCTCCTAAATTTATATCTCCTAAATATATATATAGTTAGTTAGATTAAAGTTATGTCACCTATCCAAAGGAAGGCAAATCCAGAAGGTGTAATAAAATCATTTTATTTTATATATATATATATATATGTCTCCTAAATAGTTTTGGGAAAAGCCTGTCCAGTTAAGGATGCATGTTAATAAGTGGCTGCCTGGGCCAGGCGAAGTGCTCACACCTGTAATCCCAGCACTTTGGGAGGCCGAGGCAGGCGGATCACGAGGTCAGGAGATTGAGACCATCATGGCTAACACGGTGAAACCCCGTCTCTACTAAAAAATACAAAAAATTAGCCGGGCATGGTGGTGGGTGCCTGTAGTCCCAGCTACTCGGGAGGCTGACACAAGAGAATGGCATGAACCCGGGAGGCGGAGCTTGCAGTGAGCCGAGATCTTGCCACTGCACTCCAGCCTGGGCGACAGAGCAAGACTCCGTTTCAAAAAAAAAAAAAAAAAAAAAAAACTAAAAGTGGCTGCCTGTTTTGCCCACTTAAATATAAAAAGTACTTTCACATTCCTAACATCTTGTTATTGGTCTGTACAGATAACCTCTCCAAATGCTCTCAACTTTCTGCATTGAATTTATCATTCCTTTTTCACCTTGGGTTAACTCTAGGAAAATACATATCACCCTCTATTGATTTATGTGCACTCAGTCATATATTGTCTTTTGTATGTCTTCAGGGTCTGATGGAGACTTGTAGATAATAGAATCTAGAGATTGTCAGATTTTCAACTAGTGCTATTTATGTTATCTCTGGTATATAAAAATACTTAACAGCAATTTTAATTCTACAAAATGTTAGTTCCTAGTGTGTCACTGATTTTGGTCACTTGGCAAAATAATCATATTGAATAATTGTGTCAAATCAAAACACAAATATTTTGTTCTTGGTCTCATTGTTTTAGTTGTTTCTGTCATTCCGAAATTAGTGATTGACATTGACTTAGTAGTATCCATTTAACAAGCCTCAGATTTAAACCATCTAAATTTACACAATTGTAAGACAGCCTCTGCAGAAGAGAGTTGTTTCCTTTGCCATGTAATGGGGATGACATATTTTAATATTGGAGACATAGAGAAAGGTGTACACCTTCACCTTACTTCTTACTCTGTATTATTCAAATGACTTTAGAAAGTCTTTGATCATTTGGAAATTGAAACAATAATTGGCCCTTTGCATGTGTGACGCTTCTTTTTAAAATGCATTTTCCTCCTTCTTTGCATGACCGGATTTTTTTCTTTGTCCTTCTGGTCTCAACTAAAATATCATTCTCTCCCCGAATATAGTCACTTTTCTTTTTATTGTTCTGTTTTAAAATTTCTTTGTGTCAACATATTTCTATCTGAATTTATCCTGTTATGTTTGTTTTGTTGTGTCTTGCCTGTTTAGCCCCTTTAGAATGTGAACTCTAGGAGAACAGGTTCCTGTCTACTCCCTGCTGTTCACACAGGGTGTAGACCAGTGTGGGCACATAGTTGATGCTCAATAAATATAGATGGAGGCATATGGGCTTCTATTAGCTTTATCTTCATAGATTTTAAAAAATTAATAGACTTTATTTTTTAGAGGAGTTTTAGGTTTACAGAAAAATCTGGCAGCAAGTACAGTTTCCATGTACTCTTTCTTCCCTGCCCTCACAGTCCGTGTTGTGAACCTTCGCATTGATGTGGCACATTTTTGCACTGGTGAACCAGTACTCTTCAATAATTTTTAACTAAAGTCCATAGTTCACTTTCGGGTTGCCTCTCTGGGTCGTAGGTTCTATAGATTTTGCCAAATGCATAGTGTCAGCCTCTACCATGATAGTCTCTTACAGGTTAGTTTCACTGCCTTTCAGAGTCCCCGTGCTTCGTCTGTTTCTCTCTCCTCCCCAGCTCTAGCACCACTGATGTTTTTACTGTCTCCATAGTCTTACGTTTTCCAGAATGTCATATAGTTGGAATCATACAGTAGGTAGCCTTTTCACAGGGCTTCTGTCACTTCGCAATATGCATGTAAATGTCTTTTCTCTGACTTGATAACACCAAACAATTTCTTTTTATCACTGAATAATATTCCATTTATGGATATACCACAGTTTGCTGAGCTCTTCACCTATGGAAGGGCATTCCAACTGCTTTGTATTAATAATTATTTAATTGCTATTTTGTTCATAATTTTGAAAAGTATGAACAAAGCTACTATAAACAGTTTGTGCAGCTTTTTGAGTGGACATAAATTTTCATTTATGTAAATGCCTAAGAGTGTGATTAGAACTCCTGACCTCAGGTGATCCACCCGTCTCGGCCTCCCAAAGTGCTGGTATTACAGGCGTGAGCCACTGTGCCCAGCTTCCCATTGTTTTTTAAATTTGCAATTCCCTAATGACGTATAATATTTTGCACGTTTTCATACTCTTATTAACCATCTGTATATCTTCTATGGTAAAGTATCTGTTCAAATTTTTGGTCTGCCTTTTAATTGTTTGTTTTTTTGTTATTGTTTTTACTGTGTTTGGTTTTAAGAGTGATTTATATATTTTGGATACAATGCCTCTATTATGTGTTTTGCTAATATTCTATCACAGTCTGTGGCTTATCGTTTTACTCTCTTAACAGTGACTTTTAAAGAACAGAAGTTTTTTTTATTTTAATGAAGTCGAAGTTAGTGCTGTTTCTTTCACAGATTGTGCTCTTGGTGTTGTATTTAAAAACTCATTGCCAAACAAAATGTCATTTAGACTTTTTTCCTATTTTATCTTCTAGGAGTTTTTAGTTTTACATTTTGTCTAGATTTATTTATTTTACATGTGGATGTTCACTTGTTTTAGTACCATTTGTTGAAGGACTAATGTTTCTCCATTGAATTGTGACTGCTCCTTTGTCAAAGATTAGTTGATTATGTGGATATTTATGTGGAGATATTTCCGGGCTCTCTGTTCTGTTCTCTATTTATCTCTGTCCTTTTCTTCATTAAGACTACTCTGTCTTGATTACTGAGGCTTTATGCTAAGACTTAAAGTTGGGTAGTGTCTGTTCTCTCACTTTATTTTTCCTTTTTAATGTTATGTTGGTTATTCTGTTTCTTTTTTCTCTCCATGTAAACTGTAGAGTCCATTTGTAAATATCCACAAAGTAAAGTGATGAATTTTTTTATTGGGATTCCACTGAATGTATATTAGGTTGGGCAGAATTAATAATTTAAAAATATTGAGTTTTCCCAATCATAAACATGGAATATTTTTCCATTACTGGGGTAATCTTTGATTTTTAAATTTTTCCCCACATAGATCTTGTTCACAATTTGTTAAATTTATACAGAAATTTAACCAATGTTTTTAGTGTTTCATTTTTAATGTTGATGGTTAAGAATTTATCAATTTTATTAATCTATCCAGATAATCAGCCTTTAGTTTTGCTGATTTTCTCCATTATTTTCATCTTTATTGATTTCTGCTCCAATTTTGGTTATTCCTTTTCTTATGCATACACTGAAGTTAATTTGCTCTTCTTTCTCTAGTTTCCTTAGATGTAGGCTGCTGTAGTTTGAATGTATCCTCCCAAAAAGCATGTGTTGAAAACAATCCCCATTGCAATAGTGTTGGGGGTGGCCCTAATTGGGGTGTGTAGGGTTAACTTGGGTTATGATGGGTCTGAGACTGAAAGCTCAATCTCTCATCCTCTCCCTCTTGCCTTTGCTCAATCTCTGGCCTCTGCCATGGGGGCAACACAGCAAAAAGGGCCTTGTCAGATGCTGGCACCTTGAAATTAGACTTCCCGGCCTTCAGAGCTGTTAGAAATAAATTCCTTTTCTCTATAAGTTACCCAGTCTCTGATATCTTGTTATAGAAGCACAAAATAAATTGAGACAGAAAGTTGGTACTGAGAGTAGTGTTATTGCTGTAACAAATACCTGACAATGAGGAAGCAGCTTTGGAACTGGGTCATGAGTCAAGCCTGAAATGGTTTTGAAGTGAATGCTAGAAAAAACCTGTTTTTCCATGATCTGAGCATTAAGGGTAATTGAAGGCTCAGAAGAAGGGAATAGTTGTAGGGAAAGTTGGAAACTTCTTAGGTATTACTTAGGTTGCTATGATCAGAATCTGTGTTAAAATATGGATGGTAAAGGCAATTCTGATAACGTCTCAGACAGAAATGAGGAGCAAGGTATTGGAAACTGGACTAAAGGCCACTCTTGTTATATAGTAGCAAAGAACTTAGCTGAATTATGTCCATGCTTTAGGGCTCTATGGAAGGCAGGATTTAAAAACAATGAACTAGGATATCTGGTGGAAGAAATATCTAAGCAGCAAAGCATTTAAGATGTTGCGTGGCTTCTTTTAATGAAATAAAACAAAACCCAAGAGATAAAAGATAGTGCGAAGATGAAATTTATAATTAAAAGAGAAGCAGAACAGAAAGATTATGAAAACTCTCAGCCTGGCCATGTAAAAGTATAAAATGGTGTGTTTAGGAGAGAATACTAAGCGTGTAGCCAAGAGACCATTTGCTAGAGATTTGTATGGGAAAAAGGAAACCAGATTCTATTCATTAAGACACTGGAAGAATGACCCTGAATGCGTTTCAGAGATTTTCCAGGCAAACTAGAACCTTAAGGCAAGGTTTCCAGAAAAGTGCCACTGGACGCCAACATTTGCTTTCCTGCACCACCGCAAGTGTCTGCTTCCTGTATTCCGATGTGGTGCTCCTTGGGTCTGTCAGCTGTGGATCAAGCCAGCCCAAGTGTGCCTTAGGCCAACACTCAAGAAGGTACAAACTGAAGCCTTGGCAGCATCCAGGTAATGCTAATTCTGCAGGTGCACAGAATGCAGAGTCTATGGTGGCATGACTTCTTGCAGTTAGATTTCAAAGGATGTTGGAGACAGACTTGGGGCCCAGCAACGTGTCAGGGGGCAGGTCCACTCCAGAGAGTCCCAATCAGGGTAATGCTTAGTGAAGCTATGGGAGTAGGACCACCTGCAAACTGCAGAGCTGCAGAGCCACTAGCACATAACTTGAACCTGAGAGAGCTGCAGCAGGAGAAACTAACCCAGGAGAGCTGATATATGGGCTGAGCCCAGCAACACCATAGGGAAGGGCTGCCTGAGGACTTTGGGATCCATTATTGTCCCACTATGCCCAGAAGGCAGAACATGGAGTCAAGGAAGATAATTTTGGAGCTTTAAGATTTGATGTTGTTTTCCCTATTGGATGTTGGACTTACTTGGGCCTGTTACTCCTTTATTTTCCCTGTTTCCTCCCTTTGGAATAGTGATATTTATCCTTTGCTTGTCCCACCATTGTATTGTGGAAGTGCATAACTGGATTTATTATCACGGGTTCACATCTGGAAGATAATTTGCCTCAAAATGAATTGTGTCTTGAGTCTTGCCAATATCTGACTTAGAGAAGACTTTGGACTTTTGAGTTGGTGCTGAAACAAGTTAAAACTTTGGGGCTTTTGAAATGGAATGCATATATTCTCCAAGTGAGAATATAATTTAGGGGGGCCAGGAGTGGGATGCTATGATTTAAATGAGTCCCCCAAAATGCACATGTTGCAAACTTAATCCTCAATACAATACTGTTGGGAGGTGGGGCCTAATGGGAGATGTTTATGTCATGAAGCTCCACCCTCACAAATGGATTAATGCTGATTATAACAGGGCCTGTGGCTTTGAGTTCTATCTTTTGCTCTCTTATTCTCCCTCTTGCCTCTGTCATGGGATGATGCTGTAAGAAGGCCCTCACCAGATGCTAGCACCTTGATATTAAACTTTTCCACCCTCAAGACTGATAAATTAGTTTCTTTTTTAAAAATAAATTATCTAATCTATGGGATTCTGTTAAAGCAGTACAAAATAGACTACAATAGAAGCTTAGACAACTTAGTTTATTTTTTTTCTTCTCTTCTAATGTATGCATCCAGTGCTATAATTTTCCCTCTAAGTGCCACTTTGGCTGTATCCCCACAAATTTGATAAGTTGTATTTTCATTCTCACTTAGTTCAAAACACTTAAATTATCTTTGAGACATCTTTACCTATGGATTTTTTTCAAAAGTGTATTGTTTAATAACCAAATAATTTGGATTGTCCAGCTATCTTTCTGTTATTGATTGCTGCTTTAATTCCATTGTGCTCTGAGAGCCTACTTTGTGTGATGTCTATTCTTTTAAATATGTTAACATGTGACTCCTGGCCCAGAATGTGATCTCTACTGGTGAATGCTCCCTGTCAGAGGAACGTGCTTTCTATAACTGTTAGGTGAAGTAATTAGTCAGTTAGGTCCTGATGACTGACAGTGCTTTCAGTTCAGTTATGTCCTTACAACTTTTCTGTTTGTTGGATATGTGCATTACTGATAGAAGGGTGTTAAAGCTTCCAACTATAATAGTAGTATCTGTTTATTCTATCATTTCTATCTGTTCTTGCCTCATGCATTTTTACACTGTTTCTGGCCACATACACATTAGGGTTTTTATGTCTTCTTGGAAAATGTGACACTTTTACCATTATGTGATGCCTCTCTCTATCTCTGATAACTTCCCTTGCTCTGAATTTTTCTGTCTGAAGTCAATACAGCTGCTCTCACTTTCTTTTGATTTGTATTAGCATGGTACATGTCTCTTCATCCTTTTACTTTCAGTCAATCTGGGTCTTTTTAAAGTGAGTTTCTTGTTGACAATATGTACTTGGGTCTTATTATTTGTATCCACTCTGAAAGTCTCTGTGTTTTAACGGTGTACTTAAACCATGCACATTAAAAAATTACTGACATATTTGGATTAATATCCTCCATATTTGCAACAGTCTATTCATTGTCTTTTTTCTTTTAATTGTACTTCCAGTGATTTTGTGCCTTCTCTAGTTTTAGTTGAGTACTTCCTATGATTCCATTTCCTCTATTCTGTTGGCATATCAATTTGTTAAAAACTTTTTTAAGTGGCTATTCTAGAGTTTTCTTTCTTTCTTTCTTTCTTTCTTTCTTTCTTTCTTTCTTTCTTTCTTTCTTTTCTCTCTTTCTTTCTTTCTTTCTTTCTTTCTTTCTTTCTTTCTTTCTTTCTTTCTTTCTTTCTTCTTTCTTTCTTTCTTTCTTTTGAGAGAGAGTCTCATTCTGTCTCCCATGCTGGAGTCCAGTGGTGCCATCTTGGCTCACTGCAACCTCTGCCTCCCTGGTTCAAGCGATTCTCCTGCCTCAGCCTCCCAAGTAACTAGGACTACAGGTGTATGCCACCATACTCAGCTAATTTTTTTGTATTTTTAGTAGAGACAGTGGTTCACCATGTTGGTCAGGCTGGTCTCGAACTCCTGACCTCAAATGATCCACCAGCCTTGGCCACCTGAAGTGCTGGGATTACAGGCATGAACCACCATGCCTGGCCCTCTAGAGTTTTCAATATACATTTATAATTAATCCAAGTCCACTTTTAATAACACTATAGTGCTTCCTGTTTACTGCACGTACCCGATAACAGAGTATTTTCAATTTCTCCCTCCCACCTCTTATAACATTGCTGTCATTAATTTCACTTACCCATAAGCTATAATCATCAAATTCATTGTTGTGATAATGATTTTGAACAAACTATTCTCTGTTCAATCAGTAAGAATAAGAAAAATGAAATGTCTCATTTTACCTGCATTTATTCCTTTTGAAATGTTCTTCCTTTCTTTATATAGATCTGAGTTTCTGACCTATATCATTTCCTTCTCTCTAAGAAGCTATTTTAACATTTCTTGCAGGGTAAGTTCTACTGGTGATATACTGCTTCATTTTTTTTTTCTTTTTCAGAGCATCTTTCTTTCTCTTTCACTTATATGTTGTAATTTCCCTGGATACAGAATTCTAGGCTGATGTTTAAATTTTTTTTCTTTCAACTCACTTCAAATATTTCACTCAACTCTCTTTTTGCTTGAATGGTTTCTATAGAGAAGTCCTATGTAATTCTGATTTTTGTTCCTCCCTAAGTATGGTGGTTTTTTTTTTCTGCCCTGTTTCAAGATTTTATCTTTATAAAAAGTTTCTGCAGTTTGAATATGACATGACTAGGTATAGATTTTTGGTATTCATCCTATTTGGTGTTCTGTGAGCTCCCTGGATCTGCTGCTTGGTGTCTGTCAACTTTCCAAAATGCTTCACCATTATTTCTTCAAATATTTATTATTTTCCTTTCTTTCTTCTGCTTCTTGTATTCCTGTTATGTGTATTTTACACCTTCTGTAAATTGCCCACAGTTTTGGGGTATTCTGTTCCATATTTTTCATTCTTTTATTTTTGCATTTCAGTTTGGGAAGTTTCTACTGACATATCTTCAAGGTCACTGATTCTTTTCTTGGCCATGTCCAGTCTACTGATGTGGCCATCAAAGCCATTCTCCACTTCTTTTACAGAGATTTTGATTTCTAACATTTCCTTTTGATTCTTTCTTAGAGTTTCCATCTTTTTGTTTATATTATCCATATGTTTGTGCCTGTTGTTATTAACTTTTCCATTAGCATTGGTATCATATTAATCATGGTTATTTTGAATTTCTGGTCTGATCATTCCAAAATCTCTGCCATATCTGAGCCGGCTTTGACTCTTGGCTTGCATTTTTTGATGTTTTTTTTGCCTTTTGGCATGGCTTGTGACTGTTTTTGTTGCAAGACAGGCATGATGCACTGGGTAAAAGGAATTAAAGGAGATAGGCTTTGAGTGTAAGATTTAGGTTTATGTGGCTAGGAGTCAGGCTATGTTTACCGTTTGCTGTAACTGTGGTATCAGAAGTTAAACATTTCCTCTATAGTCTCTGTTTTTGCCTCTCTGGTTTCCATTGAGTGTCTTAGAGACTATGAAATAGGGTCTAAAGCTAACAGTTCTTTAGCTACAATTCTTTATTTCTATGCTATTGATGTGGAGGGGCCCTATTGATTTGGAGGTGAGCTGTTGGGAGAAGGTAAGCTGTTGGGAGAAGGGAAGCTTCTATACTCCTAAGATTAAGTTCTAGTCTTTTAAAAATTTGATGTATTTAAGGTGTACAACATGATGTTTTGGCTTACATATACACAGTGATATGATGCCTATGAGTAAGCAAATTATCATATCCTTCACCTTTCGTAATTACCTTGTTTCAGTCTTTTAATGAGCCTGACTGGGTATTTCCTTTCCCTCAGACTGGTTAGGTTTTATAAAAAACCCCAGTGGGTTAGGCGATAGTACACTAATTGTCCTTGAGGGCAAGTCTCCAAGGAGAACAGAGAGCTCTGGGCTTATTTCAAAATAGTTACTTTTCTTCTGCTCCAGCAAGAACTACCAGGGACTTTTTCTCAGATCTCCTCCCAGAAAACCTGGGAGGCTTCTGGAAGTAAAACTCAGGAAAGTATGCTCATCTCCTCCCCAACCCACCCCCAAAACTGGAATTTTTAACTTTCAAGCTACTTCACATGGAGCCTTCAGCAATTTACTAATTACCATTTAAGGCATCCCTACTTTAAACTTTGAAGTGGTTTCAGCTGTGGGCTTCTGCTCAGGTTAGCTGTGATTTTCTGTGTCCACCTGTCTGTCTCTCCAGTTTTTCAGGAAGCAGTTTGTCCTGTGACCTCCATTCTCTCATGGATCTAAGAAGAGTTGTTGATTTTCAGTTTGTTCAGCTTTGTTTTTGTTGTAAGGATAGGAGTGATGACTTCCAAATCCTATAGCATGTCAGACTGGAAACCACTCTGCATGGATTTTTTATGGGAATTACTTAAGCAATCCATGTAATTGCTTTCTTTCCACTTCATTACTGTGGATGCAGCAGTGGGATCAAGGTGAGTAAAGACATGTCATTTATGTATGGAGCTGAGGCCATACCGCACATTCTCCTGTGACATGTATAACTCTTGCTGACAAATCATACAGATCTGGAAACACTGTTTAATTTTAAATATTTCTAAATTTATGAATAAAACTTAGATCATATTTATACATGTGTTTATAAACAAGCTATATTCATACATATTCATTCATATTATATATTGATTTTCATATATATTTTATGTTTTTGCATATTGTTCATATATATTTAATTCACATATATTTCAATATTTATCACCTTCTATAAAGGAAAAAGGAATTATGACAGCTATAAGTCAGTAAACCTATTAAATATACCTGTTGAAGGAAACAAGTCTAAAGCCATGTTCCCTTCCATCCCAACATCTCTGCTAGTCAATGGCAGTTTCATAGTGGCGGCCTATCTTGATTGGTAAGAGCACATACTTTGGATTCAGACACACATGAGAGCAAGTTTCACATCTAACACTTGTAAGTTGGGCAATCTTTGTTAGCCACAGTTCATTGTTTATTCGATAGCCATATTAATAGCACCTAACATGCCTGATTCATTATTAAGTGAGCAAATGCATGTGGGTGGCCAGAAGCCTAAGGCACTCATGTTATTATCATTGATAACATCATCAGTGACATCACAGTCATTGCCCTTTTTATTATTTTTACTGCTCCTTATATGTTCTGTCACTTTCTGCTCAGCTTTAAATAAATTAAAAGCACAATTTAGCATATAATCTAGGTGTGCTACCCAGAAACTGGCATCAACTCTCCTGTTTCCTGATAACTTTAAGATGAATATCTCTATCCCAGAACTTTCTTCTAAACTCTGGAGTAACAGTCTCATCTCTCAATTCTTCTTCTCCATCTGGGAAAGCAGGGAGATCAAACTCATAGCCCACCTTTCCCCAGAAATCATTTTTTGCTAAATCAAATTAGCAAAGATTGAAACATATAATGAAAGTTGATAAAGGTATATTGTGTTAGTACTTTTATATACTGCTTAAGAGAGTTCATGTTTATTTATGAAAGCATTTCGTTATATGTATTAAAATCACTTAGGTATTCTTAATATTTATGCCAATATTTCTACTGCTGGGAATCTAGCCTAGGAAAACATTCAGAAATGTGGACAAATATTAACGTAAGATTTTATTAATTATGCCTCCATTTATAACTGGGAAAATTAGGAAGAATCTGAAGGTCTGATTATTGAGTAACGGTTATATATATATATATACACACACATATATACACATACACTATGGGGGATGTCAGCTATCCAATATCAAGTGAAAAATAAGAAACCACAATCCATCTACAATAGTCTGTGAAAGTAAACATGTATGTATGCAGGCACACACAACATACAGGAGAAAATTGAAGAATCCTAAATTAGTCAATGTTATGGCTGGAAATTGAGATATAGTGAATTGTCATTTTCCCCTTGATACACATCTCTAATTCTACATTTTATAATTCTGATAAAAATAAATACTAAATTACTATAGAAAGAAGAGTAGGCTTACAGTTTGGAAGTGTTGTGTTTTATAAAGTCTATCTTCTTTATTATTAATTTTGTTCAAACTTGAACTGCTGTAGATTCATGTGGTGTACTCTGATTTGTCTGTGGTAGATTTTTAGGGTTGTTACTTGAATACTTGAATTCTTATTTAATGTACTAAATGTTATTTAATGTATCAAATGTTATTTAATGTATTAACTGATTAAATAATACAGGCAGAATAGTACACATCACAGCTCACTTTACTCTAGAGACGAAAGTGAAAAATGGTCTGAGAAAAATGAATGTCATCAGAAGATGGTGCAGGCTGGGCTCCTAGGATGGTGATGTCCGGTCCTCCAGTCGCTTGCACTTTGGGGCTCTGAGGCCGTATTTCTAGAGTGCGTGGAGACGCCATTTCCCCCTCATCCTGCTGAGGCGCCTGCAGCATTTCCTACAGCTGCTTTTATAAAGGCCAGAGGGAACAGAGCCAGATGCTCTGGCAGTAAGCAGGATGGGGGAAGAGATCGCTGCTGCATGAACCCCATGTCCAGGGGCTCACGGACAGACAGAAAAGCAAACTAGGGAAGCCAGACCTGCCTTTCATGTGTATTGTTCTTATTGTGTCTGGAATTGGTGGGTTCTTGGTCTCACTGACTTCAAGAATGAAGCCGCGGAGCCTCGCGGTGAGTGTTACAGCTCTTAAGGTGGCGCGTCTGGAGTTTGTTCCTTCTGATGTTCGGATGTGTTCGGAGTTTCTTCCTTCTGGTGGGTTCGTGGTCTCGCTGGCTCAGGAGTGAAGCTGCAGACCTTCGCGGTGAGTGTTACAGCTCATAAAAGCAGCGTGGATCCAAAGAGTGAGCAGTAGCAAGATTTATTGCAAAGAGCGAAAGAACATAGCTTCCACAGTGTGGAAGGGGACCCGAGGGGGTTGGCGCTGCTGGCTCGGGCAGCCTGCTTTTATTCTCTTATCCGGCCCCACCCACGTCCTGCTGATTGGTAGAGCCGAGTGGCCTGTTTTGATAGGGCGCTGATTGGTGCGTTTACAATCCCTGAGCTAGATACAAAGGTTCTCCACCTCCCCATCAGATTAGTTAGATACAGAGTATGGACACACATGTTCTCCAAGGCCCCACCAGAGTAGCTAGATACAGAGTGTGGATTGGTGCACTCACAAACCCTGAGCTAGACACAGGGTGCTGATTGGTGTGTTTACAAACCTTGAGCTAGAGACAGAGTGCCGATTGGTGTATTTAGAATCCCTGAGCTAGACATAAAGGTTCTCCAAGGCCCCACCAGAGCAGCTAGATACAGAGTGTGGATTGGTGCATTCACAAACCCTGAGCTAAACACAGGGTGCTGATTGGTGTGTTTACAAACCTTGAGCTAGAGACAGAGTGCCGATTGGTGTATTTACAATCCCTGAGCTAGACATAAAGGTTCTCCACGTCCCCACCAGACTCAGGAGCCCAGCTGGCTTCACTCAATGGATCCCGCACCCGGGCTGCAGGTGGAGCTGCCTGCCAGTCCCACGCCATGCGCTCGCACTCTTCAGCCCTTGGGTGGTGGATGGGACTGGGCCCCATGGAGCAGGGAGCAGCTCTCCTCAGGGAGGCTCGGGCTGCACAGGAGCCCACGGAGGCGGGGGAAGGCTCAGGCATGGCGGGCTGCAGTCCCGAGGCCTGCCCTGAGAGAAGGCAGCTAAGGCCCAGCGAGAAATCGAGCGCAGCGCAGGTGGTCTGGCACTGCTGGGGGACCCAGTACACCCTCCGCAGCCGCTGGCCCGGGTGCTAAGTCCCTCATTGAGCGGGGTGGCAGGGCCAGCCAGCTGCTCCCAGTGCGGGCCTGCGAAGCCCACGCCCACCCGGAACTCCAGCTGGCCCACAAGCGCCGCAGGCAGCCCTGGTTCCCGCTTGCGTCTCTCCCTCCCCACCTCCCTGCAAGCTGAGGGAGCCGGCTCTGGCCTTGGCCAGCCCAGAAAGGGGCTCCCACAGTGCAGCGGTGGGCTGAAGGGCTCCTCAAGTGCCACCAAAGTGGGAGCCCAGGCAGAGGAGGCGCCGAGAGTGAGCGAGGGCTGTGAGGGCTGCCAGCACGCTGTCACCTCTCATTATGGCAAGGACACATTCCCCCACCAAGTTACACATATTGTTATTTTTTTTTACCCACAAGGGAAGGAGGCTCAGAGAACTTGTGTAGCCTTGTTAACTTTATGTGGCTAGGAGTTGGCAAGGCTGGGATGTGGACCCCAGATGTGTAACTGACAGCTCATGTTCTTGTCCTTGTTCCCTGCTGCGTTGTTGGGGGTAATTTAGGGATATTGTCCCCTATTCATACCACGCTCAGGGGAGTGACCGTATGCAGGCACTCAGGAGATGGAGGCGGGGGTGATTCCAGGAGGTTCAGATGGTCTGTGTGATGGTTAATACTGAATGTCAACTTCAGTGGATGAAGGATAAAAGTATTGATCCTGGGGTGTCTGTGAGGGTGTTGCCAAAGGAGATTAACATTTGAGTAGGTGGACTGGGAGAGGCAGACCCACCCTTAATCTGAGTGGGCACCATATCTAATCAGCTGCCAGTTCAGCTAGAATAAAAGCAGGCAGGAAACTGTTGAAAGGGAGACTGGCCTACACTTCCTGCCTACATCTTCTCCCTGGCAGGATGCTTCCTGCCCTCCAACGTCAGACTCCAAGTTCTTCAGTTTTGGAACTTGGACTGGCTCTCCTTGCTCCTCAGCCTGCAGATGGTCTATTATGGGATTTTGTGATGGTGTGAGTTAATACTTAATAAACTCCCATTTATATACATATATATGTATATAAATACATGTGTAATACATGTAATACATGTATATGTAATATATGTATGCATATATGTAATATATATGTATATGTGCATACATATATAATATATATGTATATATGTAATATATATGCATATATATGTATATATGTTATATGCATATATGTATATATGTAATATATATATATATGTATACATATATGTATATATATGCATATATATGTATACATATATGTATATATATGCATATATATACATATGTTATATATGCATATATATGTATACATATATATGTAATATATATGCATATGTGTATATATGTAATATATGCATATAACATATATATGCTATATATATGCATAAATATGTTATATATGCATATATGTATGCATAAATGTTATATATGCATACATATATGTGTGATATATATATATGCATACATATATGTGTGATATATATGCATATATATATGCATATTTATACATATGTGTAATATATATGCATGCATATATATGCATATATACATATATGTGCATGTGTGTATATATGCATATACGCATATATGTGTATATATGCATATATGTAATATATATGCATATGTGTTTATGCATATATGCATGTGTTATATATGCATGTGTTATATATGCATATATGCATACATATGTGTTATATATGCATATATGTATACATATATGCATACATATGTGTTATATATGCATATATGTATACATATATGTATACATATGTTATATATGCATATATATGCATACATATATGTATACATATGTGTTATGTATGCATATATGCATACATATATGTATACATATGTGTATGCATATATGTGTTATATATGCATACATATATGTATGCATATATGTACATATGTTATATATGCATATATGTATACATATATTTATATATGCATACATATATGTAATGTATATATGCATACATGTACACATATATGTATATATATGCATATATATGTATACATATATGCATATAAATGTACATAATTATATATATACACATACATAATACATATATACACATATACATATACATATACATATATATGTGTATATGTACATATATACACACGTATATATGTATATGTATATGTGTACATATATACGCATGTATATATGTATATGTATATATATGCATGTATATATACACGCATGTATATATGTATATATACATATATACATATATACACATGTGCACATACACATATCTACATATACTTATGTACACATATATGTGTATATATACACATGTATTTGTGTATATATACACATGTATTTGTGTATATATACACATATGCATATAAATGTATATCCACACATATGTGTATATATGTACGTGTATATGTATATACACGTACATATATGCATATATACACATGTATACATATATACGTGTATATATATTTATATATGCATATATATTACATATATGTATATAAATATTCCATTAGTTCTGTCCCTCTAGAGAACCATTATATATATGAATATACAGATATATATATATGCATATACAGATATATCTGTATATGCATATGTACATATACATATATATATACATATACATATATATATATATGTATATATATATATATATATATTCCATTAGTTCTCTCCCTCTAGAGAATCTTAACTAATACAGTCTGGAAGGGAGAGAATTAGTAAGGCCTGTGGATCACTCCTCTTTCCCCAGTACCACAAAACCTCAGCTTCTTGCAGTTGTGATACTCTGGTAGCTGGTCACCTCCCTTCTCTGTAATAAATTGTATACATTGCTGTTGGAATACAGCACTGAGTGTGTATTGACCTTGCACCAAAAACACTGGTGGCTGAGGGATTAAAATCCTAATCCTGCCTGGCACTCAAATCTCTCCAAATTTGGCCTCAAACAACATTTACAATTCTTAGTCACACATATTCTCCTGCATGTACCCTCAAAAACGGTCCAATGACATGGACATCACCTTCCTCTTCTCAGACTTACCTGTTCTCTCACCTCCAGACACTTACTCAAGGTCTTCCCTCTTCCTGGAACACATGTCCACACCTCTCAGGAATTAGCGATGTTGTCTCCACCCAGCTGGGAGAAATTGCTTCCACCTCTTATACTCTCAAGATATTTAAATGATATAACTTCCAGGGCTCAATCCCTTTCTCTATTATGGAATGGTGGGGGCAGAGGGCAACATGACAAAGCCCAGTGGCTTCTGAGTCCACAGTGAACATGCAGGCTTCATCACTCTCCTTGTGTGACCTTAAACACAACATTTTAACTTCTGTCAGACACAGATCCCTCACTCCCCAAATGGAGATATTAATATCAATCTGACCGAGTTGTTCTTGGGATTAAACGTGATATTTTCTTGTACCTGGTTATGCCAGATGCTCAACAAATTTAAGTTAAACGGAATAACAGCTACAACACTGAGCAACTGTACCGTTCTTAACTGCTTTCTGGATACACGCTTATCTTAGCTTTATAACTGACGTTTGAGAGGAGCTCTGCCGCCATTTCCCTTACCATAGAGATGAGGAAACTGGGGCCAGAGAGATTAATGAGTCCTCCAAGGTCACTCAGCAGCGGAAAGGACAGCTTAACGCTCACTGTCTTGTGTTCTGATTGGAGAATCAGACTAGAGCCAGACCGCGCCTTCCCACAACCCTGTCAGCCTGGAGCCATCTTGACCCAGAAGGACCTCAGGAGAAGGGAGAAAATAGGAGTTAGGCTTTTTTTAGCCCTAGTATGCACATTAAGCAGAAAATGAGGACTTAAAGAAAGAAAACTGAGCCTGGCATGTTCCGGAATATGAAGGCAGCATTGTGGTGCTCTTCTGCAGCGAAGACAGTGCATATCACAGTGCAGACAGGCGTAGAAACAGTCCTAGCCCGTGCTTGCCTGTTTGCAAGAAAACAAATGCCATACAACATGGAAAAACTACACCTTTCTCGCAGTGTCCATTCCAGAAATGTGCAGCTGTGTTCATTGCTTAATTATTCTATCGGGAGAGGGTAGCATTGTGACTAAATCCTGGCCCTTTTTACTAAATGTTTCTCTTTAACTCCTCAGCTGGGAAGAGAGCTCAATGCATCCACCACATTCATCATGCGTTCGACACAGCACTGCCTGGCTGGTCTGCCCTGGCCAACTGGGTCTCCTCCGTGATTTTGTGTCCTTGCTAATGATGAGGGGTGTGCAGTCCTAGTCTTGCTGGCTCAGCCCCAGGGGATATTTAGCAATCCATCTTATCCCTTTCTCATGCAGAGGACATCTAACTGATGTAACTTATTTTTATGACATTAATTTTAGAATATATTTTTTTCTGTTCTAATATAAATATTCATTGGCCAATAATTCAGGAAAAATAAACAATAAACCAGGATAAATGCACAAAATAAAAAAGTGAGCCCACTAAATATATTATTGGAAATATCTATACAAACACTAGAAACGAGGATGATTTGACGTCTAGGTATTTATGAGCTCTTAAAACATTGTTTTCCAGGGGAGGCCTACGCCTGCCTACCTCCTGTTTTACACAGGGAATAGTGGTGTTCTATCTGTGAAACTCTTAGTGTTGGTTCTCTCAGCTCACCCTGTTGGATGGTATCGCAACATTAAAATATCTGTGTCTTCCATGAAAAGACCTCAAATGTATTCCTTTCTCCCCTTCACACAGCCATGAATGCAGCTCAGGAAGCAAGGGGACTTGCAGCCTCATCCCACTGTAATTATTCCACTGGCTTCCAGAGCGTCCTGAGGTTTGCAGGCTCTTTACAGATAGGTTGCTTCCATTTCTCATGCAGTGTGATCCAGCAGCACACCCAACAAGGCTGTGAAGGCAGCTCAGGGCTCGCAGCATCTCCAGTGCTCCACCACAGTCCCGCCTGCGTCGGTAAAACTGCTTAAGGCAGCGCTAATTAATGTCTCCTGCTTATCCTGCACTCCCCTCGCAGGGTATCGGGTCTCAGAATCGACTTCCTGGACTTGTATTCATTCACAATCCAAATTAGCTTAATGCACGACAGAAATCTCATCTCGACCTAGAGGTAGCAGTGAGTCTCTAGGGAGAAATCAAATACTGAGTCAATTTAAAAAAATAAAATAAAATTAGACCTACCGCATCAAATTTATTTCCAGCACCCTTGAGATGGGAAGGAGAGGAGGGGAGGCAGTGACTCTTGGTTCCTGAGAGAAGCTGTGTGTGCACACTTGGAAAAGCAGCTGCCGAACGCATTCCTGGATTTTAACTAAATTACGTTAGTGTCAAAATGCAACGTATGCATTTATTGACAGCATAGGGACAAAGAAAACAAATCGTAAAGCAACAATTTTAGATAATTACCTCAAATTTATCGCCAGTTCTGTCTCCTAGTTTCCCCCTCCGTCTCATGCCTATATTGTTTAAATGTATCAGTTGGTTAGTTCAAATAAAGCACCAAGGCATATTCAACATACCACCTGTGCTCAGGATATATTTCCCTGAGTTCCTGCCAGTCTTTGGCACGTCTGCTGCTGGAAATGAATCAGAATACAGGGAGAGGGCTAATTGACAGGTCTATGGATGCCGAAGGTAAGCTGCGACCTAAAATGAGAACTGTTCCCTTAATGAGAGACAGCAGAAGCAAGTGTGTGGCCGGGCACGCCCGTGCCTCGCCGCGGCCAGCAGATGGCAGCAGAGCCTTGGAAGCCGGCGGGCACCAGGCTCTGTTGAAAATGCACTCCTTCATTTCCATTCATCTTCACTTGTCAGAGTCTTATAAGTGCTTTCTGTAGAACTGACCCTGAAATTGCATCATTTAATCTATAATCATATATTGCCAACATTTCTCCCTTTTACCGCTTATCAATGACATTAATTCAGAGGAAACAGGGACCACTGATAGCTTTAGGCAACTCTGCAAAAAGGAGATATTCCTAACAGGCAGATACACTGCCAGGGACAGCCAGCTTGCCCGAAATAAGGAAATGCATTTTAACAGAAACGGGGGAGCATATGAAAAAAATCATTCACACTTTGTATTTCTTTCTTTCTTTGCTTTTCTTTAGCACACTTTACTTTGCACTCAAACCCGATTTTTGATTTAAGGTTCATTTGCTTAAACAACCAGTTGAATATTTCCCCATATTTAATAAGATTATTTTTTATGTAACATTTTAAAATATTCTTTCTCCAGGATATATAATCAGAAATTGATGTCTAGGATAGAATTTCACATGGTAAAAACTAGGCCCTGTAATACCCCAATTACTTTCAGCAATATCTTAGTGGTCTGATGATTGAAAAGTAGAGGCGTTTCTGGGAAATGAAAAGATTCTGTAGGAGTGATGACTGTCAGCATACATAGATTTAATTCTTTAGAGCTACACTGATGAAATGAAGAAAATACATTATTTTTCTTCTCAAACCTCTCAAAATTTCTCGGAGAGTAAAAGAATGCTTTGCTTATTAGAAAGATTGTCATGATCTGCCAAGACTCTAGATGGTACTATGGATTCACCCTGTCATTTCTATACTAACATTTGTTAAGATTCTTCTTTTTATCCACTTTTTAGGGTGTATGGGATACTTGCATGAGAAAATACACAGAAAAGAGCAGATATAAAGAATAAAAGGCAATGTAAGTTAAATCATGAGAAATTGACAGTGTCTGAAGATGATGAGATAGACGTGTGTCTAATTTTAGACCCCATAGTTAGATTGACTTTTAACTGAGTATAACAGTCAAAAATGTTCTAGAAGTACTTAATGGCATCAAGCTGCCACATTAACGTATTACGCTGAACTGAAAGGAGGTTTTCCTCAAACTCATCAGCAAATAGAAGGAGGCACCATTTGTCAGGAAGCAGGCGCCAGACTCTTCTCTCTGTATCTTGTGTGTGAACGTGTGGTGTAGGCATGTGAGAGTGTGTGTGTGGTGTTGTGAGCTTGTGTTATATGTGTGTGTATGCATGTGTGAGTGTATGATGTTCTGTGTAAATGTGTGGTGCAGGTATATGTGAGTGTGTGTGTGAGTGTGTAGTGTAGGCATGTGTGAGTATGAAGTGTTGTATGTGTGTGGTATAGGTATAGGTGAGTGTGTGGTGAGTGTGTGTGTGTGGTGTGAGTGTGTGTATGATGTGTGTGTGGTGTAGGTCTGTATAAGTGTGTGTAGGTATGTATGAGTGTGTAGTGTAGGCATGTGTGAGTGTGTGGTTATGTGTGAGTGTATAGTGTAGGCATGTGTGTGTGATGTTATATATGTGAGTGTGTGGTATAGGCATGTGTGAGTGTGTGGTGTTTTGTGTGTGTGGTGTTTGTGTGAGTGTGTAGTGTGAGCACGTGTGTATGATGTTATGTGTGAGTGTGTGATGTAGGCATGTGTGTGATGTTATGATTGTGTGTTTTGTGTGAGTGTGTAACTTAGGCATGTGTGAGTGTGGTGTTTTGTGTGAGTGTGTAGTGGTGTTTTGTGTGTGTAGTATAGGCATGTGTGACTGTGTGATGTTATGTGTGAGTGTGTAGTGTAGGCATGTGTGAGTGTGTGATGTTACGTATGAGTGTGTGGTGTAGGCATGTGTGAATGTGTGGTGTTTGTGTGAGTGTGTTTTGTGTGACTGTGTAGTGTATGCATGTGTGTGTGATGTTATGTGTATGTGTGTGAGGTTTGTGCGAGTGTGTGGTGAAGGCGTGTGTGTGTGATGTTATGTGTGAGTGTGTGGTGTAGGTATGTGTGAGTGTGTAGTGTTATGTGTGAGTGTGTGGTGTAGGCATGTGTGAGTGTGTAGTGTTATGTGTGAGTGTGTGGTGTAGGCATGTGTGAGTGTGTGATGTTATGTGTGTGTGCTATAGGCATGTGTGAGTGTGTGGTGTTTTGTCTGAGTGTGTGGCGGAGTTATGTATCTGCATTTGCATTTTAGTCTTCTTTTAATGGAAAGCAGCTCTGTGTTTCCCAATGCCCAAACCCCAGTGCACACATATGTGCCTGCAACACGCCTGGACCCCGTTTCCTCAGTCATACCTGCCATGGGTACTATTTTAAGATCATTCTGTTGCCTTCCAGGCGAACAAAGTGGATACATTGTGCCTCCTGTTGTACGGTGAGGTGAGGAAAAGGAAACCAGGTACAAAGCTGAACTGGGAGTAAGGATGACTATTTACAGAAAATATCCTGTGACTATTTATAGAGCTGTTCAGTCAGAAAAAGGTGATGCCCCGTACCTTACATGGCAATGGCCCTAGGGAAAGGGCTCCCCTCTTTAGCCCTGTTCCGGGCATGCTAAATGGTGGCCCTTGCCTTCACCTTCGCAAGGCATTTAGAACAGGGGTCTTTGGAATGTGCCCCAAGTTCCTTTTCAGGCTCTTTGTTCTGCTATTGCCCACCCACCTCCCTTCCAGGCACCCTCAACCACGAACAAACTTTACCTTTCCGTTCATGGACTATTCTTCCCCTTCCTTCCAAAACGCACACACAGGCACACGCACACACAGCTGTCGTTGAGTGTTCACTGGGTGCCAGATCCCGTCTGTAAACACCGCACTACGTGACCTCAATCTCACCAGACACTGCTCTGCCTCAGAAGACATCATCCCCACGTTACCAAAAACATCACTGGGTAAGCAACTCGCCCCAGGGCTCTCAGCCAGGAATAATGGAAATTAAAACCTATTCTCATCTCATTCTAAATCCTTTGTTGTTAGCAGCTGTGTTAACAGGTCTTGTCATAGTGTAGGAAAATCTATCCTGTTAAAAATGTACATTAACAAAATCCTAATAACCTAAAACCTCTTCCTGGGTCCTTCATCCACTGCCACCTAGTACTGCCTCATCCTCGTCATTAATTCATTAGCAAAACCTCCTGCAGCCCCTGCTTGCTGTGGTCACAGTTTTCTGTGAGCTCACAGCCATGTGAAGGCAGCCACATAAAGCCACTGATAAAACCAAGAGCGCCAATTGTGTGTCTGTGTACTTAGCAGGCCTCCAGCACACATGGCTAAGCTGTTGTGCTCCGTCCGTCTAGAGAATTGTCATGGACAGTCATGCACAGTGCAGCTTCTTTGAAATTAAGGTCTCCATCTCTGTGCGTGTGTCACAGCTATTGTCTCTAAAGTTATGAACCTTTGAGTTTGATGTTTGGAATGTCCCATATCAGGATGTCACGTATCAGATTACACAGCTACAACAGATATATAGAATATACATGTTTGTTGATTTATCTTCCTGTTCCAAAATGAAGAGATAATATTTTTCTTTCCCTCATGATATTTCGCAAAAGGAGCATACACACAGGTAATAATAGCACAATAAGCCCTTGGAAACAAAGCCCTTTGGGAAAGGTAAGTGGGGCAGCCTCAAAAAAACAAACATCCCGCAGTTGTAATGGGGACAGAGGCCTCCACTGGAAGTGAACCTGCACCCATTCTCCATGAGTGACTTTTTCCCTTTGGAAGCCTGGGCTTTTTCCATGGAGCAATGCTTATCCCAGCCTGGACAACATATTTACTGTTAGAAGATTGCTTTCCACTAACTGATATATCCAGATATCAAGAAATCTATTTTTCCTTGAGGATAAATTACTTTTACTATCAAAAAAATTAATTATGAAACATACATACAAAACAAGGAACATTCCAGCAGTTTGAAAGGCTGAGGTGGGAAGATTGCTTGAGCTCAGTAGTTCGAGACCAGCCTGGGTGACATGGTGAGACCTGATCTCTACAAAAACACACACACACACACACACACACACACACACACAAATTAACCAGGTGTGGTAGCACACACCTGGAGTCCTAACTTCGAGGGAGGCTGAGGTAAGAGGATCGCTGGAGCCTGGGAGGTCAAGGCTGCAGTGAGCCGAGATTGTGCCACTGCACTCCAGCCTGGGCAACAGAGTGAGACTCTGTCACTAAAAGAAAACCCCATAACAATAGAATTGTATATATTGCGACTGTGGAGGAAGTCCTCCTTCATTCCTCCACGCACTCAATGAACATCTTCCCAATCACGTTTTATGACGTCCTTTTCCCTGAGGAAAATAACTTTTGGAATTGGTGTTGATGATACTGACACATTTCCTTCTTATTTTTATTTAAAAATATATTTATCATTAAGCATTGTATGATATAATCTTGCATATTTTATATACTACATAACTGATGTAAACCTAATTTTTTTTCCATCAACGTTTGTGAGATTAATCCATGTTGATGTATGGAGGTGTGATTCCTATATTTTCATTTTGGGACAGTATTATATTTCTTTGCAAGCTCTGCCTCCTGGGTTCACGCCATTCTCCTGGCTCAGCCTCCCGAGTAGCTGGGACTACACCAGGTGCCCACCACCACACCTGGCTAATTTTTTGTATTTTTAGTAGACACGGGGTTTCACCGTGTTAGCCAGGATGGTCTCGATCTCCTGACCTGGTGATCCACCCGCTTCAGCCACCCAAAGTGGTGGGATTACAGGCGTGAGCCACCACACCCTGCGACAGTATCATATTTCTTGAAAATACTACTGTCTATGTAAACATTCTTTTATTAGTAGATATATTTGTCATTTCCATGGGAAAAATACAATTAGAGAACATTCATTGGCCATGTCCACTTGTGAACTTGTAAAATAATTGTTTCTAGAGTATTAATATTAGGAAACATATTTACTGAGCTGTAAGGTATTTGCATTTTCAACTTACTATTGCTAAATTAATATTCAATGTAATTGTGTGAAATTGTATGATTATTAATGGTGCAAATAACTGTTCACATGACTCTACATACTTGGTAACACTTAACATTTTAATTTGTGCAAATGTTACGTGTGAGAAATAAATTATATATTTAAAAGGAACACTTTTTGATTGCTTTTGAAGTTAGATTCTTTTTCATAGTTTAGTTTACCTTATATTTGGATTAGTTTGCTGTGAACTGCTAGTCTAAATCTTCCATTCATTTTTCTATTAGGTTTATCTTTTCTTACCTTTGATACTGTTGTTTATGATGTACAATCTAGTTTGCTTTTTTGGTTATATGTGCTGTAAATATCCTCTCCAAAAATAAATGTTATCTTTTCAGTTTCTTATGGTGTGTCTAGATATGAAACTAATTTTTATATTGGTGAAACTAATCAGTGTCTATTTTGTCATTAAAAAATAATTCCCAAGATTACAAACTCTATAATTTCTTTCAATATTTTAACGTTTTTAAGTATTTAATCTATACAGAAATAATTTTCATATTATTAGTGTTATATACAAATTAAATTTATACAAATATAATTTTATATTATATATGAGTGTTATATACCAATCCAGTTACATTTTTTCTGCTACATAGCCAATTGTAATGGCATCATTATTGACTGCTGTGTAATTTGCACACCATTCTGTAATTTCACTTCTATATGCCTGAATTTTCCATATATATGAATATCCTTAGCTGGTTTTTCTTATTATGTTTTGTCATCCTTTGCACTCAGACTTCAGTCTTAGGTACTATAACTTTATAGAACCTTCTTGTCTGGTAGGAAAAATCCTCGTATATTTTTCCTTTTCAGACTATTTTTGAGTGTTCTTAACTCTTTATTGTTCTATGTAGATTTCAGATTCAGCTTGATAAGATCTATAATATGTTTGTAGATGCTTGCAAGTTTTCTCCGTAGAAATAGGACAATATAGAAACAAGACAATCCCTATAATACTTTTTTTTTCTTAGTTTTATGTGCTACTTGGGACCTTGATACAATGTTGAATAAAAGTGGTGTTAGCATACACTTTTGTCCTTTCACTGGTCTTAGAGGAATTATTTTAGACTTTTTATAGTCATACTTCTTCTGTGCTGGAGTTGTTTTTATTGTTGTTTGTATTTTTGTAGTAACCTTTTCCAAAGTTAAGGGAGATGTCCTTACCCCTAGCTTTCCAGAATAATAAATTATGAGCAAATGTTGAATTTTGTCCAATACTATCAATTTCACTAACGGATTTTTAAATTTGAAATAAACATTAAAATTCTGAAATGAATCTAATTTGAGCATAATATGTTTATTTTATATATTTATATATTAAATTGTATAATACTGTTTTTAGACGTTTGTATTTATGATAATGAATCTGATTACTTAATTTGCTATCTCTTACTGTCCAAGTTTGTCTTAGTATTATGGTTTTTCCATACTCACAAATTGGAAAATATTTCCTCACTTTTAATTCTCTGGAAGGGCTTATATACATTGGAACTAATTTGTCTTGAATATTTTGTTAATTCTGTTGAATAGTAAGGATTTGGTGTTTCATGTGTGAGGATAAATTAAATCATTATTTGAATTTGTTTAAGGAATATAGGATGATTCAGATTTCTGTATCCTTTTGAGTCCCTTTGGAAAGTTTTATTACTATATGCAAATGTTTGTTCCTTTCACCTAACTTTTCAAATTTATTGATGCAAAATTGTTCATAGTATCCGTTATTATCATTTTAATATCTATAGAACCTGTTGGGTTGATCTCTGTTTAATTCTTAATTTTTTTCTCTTTCTCTCTCTCTCAAAAATTCTAATCATTAAAGGAACAATTTGTATATTTTAGGAACAAATTAGTTCAAATTACAATTTTATCTTTATTGATCATTTATAATCAACTTTTTTATTGCTTTCTGCTTTTAGTGTTATATGCTTATTTTTACTTTATATAAATTTATTATATTAATTATTTCCTGTCTTGACTTCCTTTTTTTTTTTGAGATGGAGTCTTGCTCTGTCGCCCAGCATCCAGAGTGCCATGGCGCCATCTCGGCTCACTGCAAGCTCCGCCTCCCGGGTTCATGACATTCTCCTGCCTCAGCCTCCCGAGTAGCTGGGACTAGAGGCACCCGCCACCCCGCTCGGCTAATTTTTTTTTTTGTATTTTTAGTAGAGACGGAATTTCACCATGTTAGCCAGGATGGTCTCGATCTCCTGACCTCGTGATCTGCCTGCCTCGGCCTCCCAAAGTGCTGGGATTACAGGTGTGAGCCACCACGCCCGGCCATGTCCTGACTTCTTAAACAGATTAACTTCCAATGATAAATGCAGCTAAACAATAATTTGAGGCAAATTTATCACTTCGAATATGTATGTGTGTGTATGTTTACTGATTTTTTTTTTTTTGAGAAGGAGTCTCATTCTGTCACCAGGCTGGAGTGCAGTGGCGTAATCTTGGCTCACTGCAACCTCCACCTCCTGGGATCAAGCGATTCTCTTGCTTCAGCCTCCCTAGTAGCTGGGACTACAGGTGCACGCCACCACACCCAGCTAATTTTTTGTATTTTTAGTAGAGATGGGGTTTCACCAGGTTGGCCAGGATGGTCTCGATCTCTTGACCTAGTGATCTGCCTGCCTTGGCCTCCCAAAGTCCTGAGATTACAGGCATGAGCCACCACTCCTGGCCGTGTTTACTGATTTTAACCTAAGATATATCTTTGGTATGTGTTATAAACATAATTTATTAATTTCTAGATATTGATTTTTTCCTCCAGTTAACTTTTTAGATTTTGACCTAATTTAATCACAGACTGGCTAATTTTCAGTTTTTACAGTATCACAGACACTTAATTTTCAGTATTATTTCTTTGAATCACTTTTGGCTCGCAGATTTTATATGGTTAATTTTCTAAAATTTGCTTTTAAAAGATATGATTTGTGCCTGTGAGTCACACTTGGTCTCTGGGCAGCCCCACCATACCCACCCACAAGGCCAACTCTTGCAGCCCTAATCATCAGGCACCCACAGACCTAGCCTCTAGGCTGGCTCTTGTAAATATAGGCTGCAGGCTGCCCAGTGCCAGGCTTCCCTTGAAGCCCATGACTCCAGGCTGGTATCTGTGAACTCAGCCTCCAAGCCTGCCCTGGGACCAGCCAGGATTCTGCAGCATCAGGTTCCAGGGATGCCCTGTAAAGTCAGTCTTTGGGTGAGCCCTAGCACTGAGCTAGCCCTCACAGCCTCAGGATTCAGGCCCTCCCCAGCACCAGGCTGGCCAGCGTGACTCTAGACATTAGTTTGTCACCGAAAGGCCTAGCCTCCAGGCTAGTCCCTACAGATAGAGTATCAATGACCCCCGGTGCCAAGCCAGCTCCTGAGGCCCCAGGCTTCAGGCCTGCCCTCGTGGCACCCTT